>NC_000004.12:86800168-86951684 GCF_000001405.40 Homo sapiens
TCATCTTTTATGATCGGGAATCAATTGGTCTGTTTCACTATTACTGCCTTTTCATTTTATTACTGAGCCAATGGAGAAATGAAATTCTATCCAGTGTTTAATTCGTCTTATTTTATATCAGGAAGTGTCACTATAATGAAAGAACACGGTTTTGTCATTCAAAGCAAAGTCTATTTTTTTTTTTTTTAAGAAATTAACAGCTTAGGCTGGGCGTGCTGGCCCACACCTATAACCCTAGCACTTTGGGAGGCCAAAGCAGGCTGATCACCTGAGGTCAGGAGTTCAACCAGCCTGACCAACAGGCAAAACCTCGTCTCTTCTAAAAATACAAAAATTAGCTGGTCATGGTGGCAGGCACCTGTGATCCCAGCTACTCGGGAGGCTGAGACAGGAGAATCGCTTGAACCCCAGAGGCAGAGGTTGCAATGAGCCGAGATTGCGTCACTGCACTCCAGCCTGGGTGATAGAGTGAGATCCTGTCAGAAAGAAAGAAAGAGAGAGAGAGAAAGAGAGAGAAGGAGAGAAGGGAAGAAAGCAGGGAGGGAGGGAGGGAGGAAGGAAGGAAGGGAGGGAGGAAGGAAGTTAGTTTAATTAACACTTTCTTCACTTGGCTAGACTGTTGGTATGTGTACAACATGCATGTCCAGCACTGTAGCCCTTGCTCATCCACCCAGCCTTTAAGTTCCTGTTGCACTGACATGCAGTTCTGTAAAAGTTATTTCATATGAGTAAATTTTGTATTCCCAGCCAACCTCTGCCCGAGCTAAATGTTAACCTTTTAGGTGTCTTGTATAGTTTTGTGTCCCTCACAGTGCCAGCATCATTGCTGCCTATATCTTAGCTGCATCATCAAAATGCTTTAATCAGCTGATTGACATAATTAAAGCTACACTTGTGCAGTCTATAGCAAGACGTTTCCCTTCCCTTTTTCTAGGATAACAGTTGCCTTCAATTATAAATAATTTCCATACAGCAGGTACTAAATTAGACCCATAGCTCTTCTAAGATAGTTGACTCAACTCCCAAAGAATTCAAGGGAATTCTTTATTTGCATGGAGAAAACTATCGAACACCAGGGATAACTGGCCCTGAGTGCCAAGGATGGATGGTGAAGAGAGAAATCAGTGTTCCTGGAGTAATCTCCCATATTAAGGAATTTCTGAAGTGTCTCTCTTACTTTCACCATGTGCTTAGAAGCTAATTTAAATGAAAAGTAGTAACAGAATTAAATTTGATAATTTTTTGTAATGAGTTCCTGAGGTTTTTTTGGGGGGTGAGGGGGCAGGTAAAAGTTTAAGTTGCATGTGTTATGCAGATTAGAATTTCAGTTACAGCTAAGCATACTTGTAAAACTTTAGGACAGCATTTCTCAAATTTGAGAACCTAAGAAGCACTGAGAATGTTTATGAACCAGTTTGAATAACATTTAATGCCATTATTTTAGATTATCAGTCTCTACTAGTGCCAGGGTGAGCAACACATTGCAATTCAAGGCACTGAAATAATTCAGTGTTTAGTTATGAGTTGGTTATTCAGGTGATCTAGAATGTGCTTTTTATATTATCTTGAAATTAAAACAAAATTTTTAAATGCTTATGTAGAAATACTGGCCTCCATGGGTCAGCAGAGCCCAGTTTAAGAAAAACTAAGCTAAGAAATATCTGAAATATGTTTGGTTTTCTGCAATCAAGCTGTTCGTAAAAAGAATTTATATGTTTTACTTATGGTCACATTTTAGTGTAAAAGTATTGAAGCAAAGGATATTGTCATTATAATTCTCAATTACCTACTAAAATGATGGTTCCATTGGCTCTGTTGGAACAATTTAAAGGTATTTATTTAACCAAAAGTCTGTTTTTTTAAAATAATTTGTTAGTCTTAACACATACCAATTTTGTATTTGTTTGATGTGCTGCAATTTTTTCATCTTTTCCCATTATTTATAAAGGCTTTCTGTATATATGAGATCAAGATTTTAGTGTGTGTGTGTGTGTGTGTGTGTGTGTGTGTGGTGTGTAAGGAGTCAGGGGAGCATAACTTAGAGAATATTGTGAAGTTTGGGATTCTTCAGAAAAATTCATCTTCTCTCACTGTAACAGAGTTCTGTTGTTGAAAGAATCCCATTTACTATTATCTAGAATACTTATTTTTAAAAATTGCCTACCTATTATGTTGTTTCTGAAATTCTGAGAACTAAGTACAATTACCTTTTTATGGCTGGTTTTGCAGGGAAAAGAAGCAAGCTGTCCCCAGGCTGCCCATGATAAACCCCTTATCAAAAATTTTTAAACAGTGCCATATGAGTCAAGAGAAGCAAAAAGAAACAACATAAACTCCTTTAGAAACTATAAATAAATGAGAGCCAAGAGCCTTAAAAACTTCTGAACGTCAGTGAGGTATCTCCTTAAAAGCTGGGTGTGGGAGTGTGCTAGGGCTGACTTTCCTGTGTTAATTGTAGTTATCAGCCTACCTATTAATTCTATTACCTTATTAATTCTCTCATATTTAAAGACTTTCCCTTTTGTAAGATGCGGTGAGAATGGGCTGAAATTAGTTCATTTGTTAGTTAAATCTGTTTTGGGGGAAATATTATTAGTTGTTGCATATTTAAAGACTTTTCTGGCCAGGCACAATGGCTCATGCCTGGAATCCCAACACTTTGGGAGGCCAAGGCAGGTGGATCGCTTGAGCCCAGGAGTTCAGGACCAGCCTGGGCAACATAGCAAAACCCCATCTCTACAAAAAAATACAAAAAATTACCCAGGCGTGGTGGTGCTTACCTGTAGTCACAGCTACCAGGAAGGCTGAGGTGGGAGGATCGCCTGAGACAGGTGGTTGACATTGCATTGAGCTGTGATTGTGCCATTGCACTTCAGCCTGGGCTACAGAATAAGACTGTGTGTGTGTGTGTGTGTGTGTGTGTGTGTGTGTGTGTATAAAATAAAATAAAGACCTTCTTAGCCAGGTACACACACACATATACATGTATTTTTTATATATACACATACATACATATATATTTATTGTGTATATATATACACACACATATATACATATATATTTATTGTGTATATATATAGAATATACACACACACATATATAAATATATAAAATAAATAAAATAAAATAAAGACCTTCCTAGCCAGGTGCAGTGGCTCACGTCTGTTATCCCAGCACTTGGGGAAGCCAAGACAGGAGGATCACTTGAGGCCAGGAGTTCAAGACCAGCCTGGGCAACATAGGGAGACCCCGTCTCTTCAAAAATATTTAAAAATTAACCAGGCACAGAGGGTGCATGACTGTGGTCCCAGCTACTTGGGAAACTGAGGCAGGAAGATCCCTTGAGCCTGGTAGATCAAGGCCGCAGTGAGCTGTGATTACAGAACTGCACTCCATCGTAGGCGACAGAACAAGATTCTATCTCTAAATAAATAAATAGACTTTCCCTTTTGTAAGATGAGGTGAACATAGGCTGAAATTAGTTCACTTAGTTAAATTGGTTCTGGAGGAACTGTTTTTAAATTGCTGTCTTCCTATTAGATCATTCCTTTCTGACAAACGATGAGCTCGCTGTACTCCCTGTCGTCAAAGTGCTTCCCTCTGGTAAATACACGGGTGCCAACTTAAAATCAGTCATTCGAGTCCTGCGGGGTTTGCTAGATCAAGGAATTCCTTCTAAGGAGCTGGAGGTAAGTGGCTTCTGCCAATGATTCTCTCCCAAAGTGTATGCATTTAGTTTGTAAGGAAAATGTATCTTTACTGGCCCAAGATTAGAAGAATTTTTGAAAATTTTCCAACTCTAAAAGCACCACCTTATCATATCTAGCAGAAAATTAATTTTTCTGATTAGGATCCCAATAATAGTGATTTAAAGGAATCACTTTAACTACTTGGAACTTGATACATTTCCCTGAAGATTATCCTTCCTGCCTCATAGTTAAGGTAAAAATGTTTAAAAAAAAAAAAAAAGCCAAGTATAAATTTCAACCATGCACTAAACTTTATAATTAGTGTATTGTAGACGTGTTTCATCATTAACAGAAGGTTCTAATTTAATACAGCTCCAAGAATGTGTGTCCTAGTTCAAAGCAGCAATGGCTCAGAGCCCTAGCTCCTGTGGTCTCATGGTACTGTCCATATTTACCACTAGAAAAGAGAGTGGTTTTGAAGTTGACCTTGCCCCTCTTCCTCAAACCATCTGCTTATTTGCCTACTTCCTAAGCTTTGTAGCCACTAAAAGGAGTTAACTTTAATAAGAGGTTCTGCTTTGTGCTTGTTGCTTTGTATATATTCCTCAAAATATTAATTCTGTTATAGATTGTGAAACTGAGGCTCACAGTAATTAAGGTATACTCTTCTCATCGCCATGCTATGGAATGATTTGTTCTTCAAGTTCTTAGATTTAAATGTCACCATCAGAAAAGTTCCATCACAACCCTTACAAAGTAGTGTTTATAAGGATTTCTTTACCACAGCAGCTTATTGATTTCTTCAAGGCATATACTACAATATTTGTTTACTTCTTTATTGTGTCTTTCTCCCAATAAGCTGTAAAGGCCAGGAGAGCCAAAATCTTATCTTCTTGCTCACCACTGTATTCCCATCACTTATTACAGTACCTTGCATATAATGAGCATGCAATATATATTTTTTGAATGAGCGAATGAATGAAAAGTGAGCAAGAGTTGACTTTAGAACCTAGGACTATCTGACCACAACACCACTACCACATGGAATATTCTATAACCCTTACAGACTATACTGTCAATAAATTGTGCTCTAGCTCATCACTTTATGGCAGAGTTGGGTTTTTTTAATTGTATTTTTTTCTAAAATATAAACACTTTTAAACAGAAGTTAAAAATTAAGACACAAAGTTCTGTCTCATAAAGTTGACTACAACGTGTTCAATTAAAAGATACTTGTAACAATATATTTCAATGCTGACTTAACAAATCACTACTGACTTTAGACTTATTTAGGACATCTGTATTTAACACTCAGAATCAGCCTTAATCAACCAATTTTGCCCCTACACATTTAAAGTATTTGAAGTTATTACTGAATTACTGCTTATCTCAACAAATTTATTTCCATGTTTTGCTTACAGAATCTTCAAGAATTAAAACCTTTGGATCAGTGTCTAATTGGGCAAACTAAGGAAAACAGAAGGAAGAACAGATATAAAAATATACTTCCCTGTAAGTTCCAGTTTGGCTTCAGATTTAATATGTGATCAGTATAATATTAATGGATTAAAATTTTTTGTGTTTAACTTACCTATCCCTCACATAACCGTGTGCATGTGCATACATTCACAGATTTATATCAGTAACAAATACATTGAAATATTCCGTGTAAATCCCCTTTTAAATTATGTAGGTATTCTGAAAATCAGTTAGAGGAACCTGAAATATTTGATAGGATATTCCTGAATTTTTACTAGTATACAGTATTAGAAATTAGTCGGTGATGCCAAATCATTAATTTTAAAATCTTTTTAAAAATAGGAACTGGCTTCTGGATGAGGATTTTCTTGGTTGGATTCATTTATCACAACCACCATCAATTTATTCCACTTATTTTTAGTTTAGAGAAATATCTATGGTAATGAATAGCTGTATATATATGCATATGACTACAGTGGTACTACCAGCCTACATTAGACATTTCAGATACCAGAAGGGAACAAAAGCAATCATTTTGGCCCGGTGCAGTGGCTCACACCTTTAATCCCTGCACTTTGGGAGGCCGAGGGAGGCAGATCACTTGAGATCAGAAGTTTAAGACTAGCCTGGCCAACATGGTGAAACCCCATCTCTACTGAAAAATACAGAAATTAGCCGAGAGTGGTGGCTCATGCTTATAATCCCAGCTACTTGGGAGGCTGAGGCAGGAGGATCGCTTGAACCCGGGAGGCAGAGGTTGCAGCGAGCCAAGATCATGCCACTGCACTCCAGCCTGGGCAACAGAGTGAGACTCCATCTCAAAAAAAAAATAGGAAAAAAAAAAGAAAAGCAGTAATTTTTACATGTATAAAAATCACATGTAAAAAAATCACACTGTGATTTTTTTTAATTATGTATGAATGTGTGTGCCAAAATACTGACCTCTAGCAAATTCTTATAATTACCAGCCACATGTATATATGTTAGCACTTTGGATTATAACATATGACACACTGACCCTATCTTTACCAAGAAACCATAAATCTAAAGATAAATAATAAAAAAAATCAATAGTGACAAGTCACATGATAAGTAATAATGCAATTGTATTTTTCTAATCCAGATAGAAAGTACAAATTCATTTTGGAAAGCTTCCTGTAAGAAATGAATCTTAGACAACATTTAAAAAATGGATCAGATCACTGTTTGGCATAAAGTATATGGGAGTTATTTTAGACAGCAAAATGGCCAGTTGAATATCTCAAAATCAGAATAGGACAAGCCATAAATCCAAAACTAATGAGTGGATTTACTCCCACAAAACAAATGACCAGTATGGACTAAGAGAAAGAAGTCAAGTGAGAAGGGCAATTGGTAGGGGATTTTGAAACCTATCATTAAAAGGTTTTAGTTTGGTAATCACAGTAATTACCAGTTAAATTTATAGATATTTGAAATAGAAATAGAAATAACTTCTAAGGTATGTAATACATATAAATTTATTCTCTTAGATAAATCTTAGACAATATAACCTCAGTGAATGATAGCTTGTACATACTTTTCACTGGAGCAGCCTGGTTTAAAAAATTACATTTTGACTATATGAAATTATAATAAAACAAAGATAAGGGCCTTTATGCCTGGATAATAAAATGAGCTGTTATTTTCTTTATTGTGTTAATTTATTGTTTTGGCTGCTTATTAAAAGAATATAATTTTATTAGGTGAGTGAGAGTTAATTATGCCAATAACATTTGCAATATATACTTTAATAGTGTTATTGTAATACTAAATTGTGTTCTATGAAAAATTTTTTGGCATTGCCTTTCAGTGCTATTATTATTATCATCATCATCATTAAAATAATGATGGAGAAGTACCAGTTGTTTTTCTTTGTTTCTCTAGTTACTTATTAGGCAATTCTAAATGCATTTATTAACTTACTAATTTTAATTTCAACTAAATCTATGTAAATAATACCAAATTTCATATGTCAGAAACTCACTAAACTAACAGCTTAGATACTTGTAACATGAGCAAAAAGAATAAACATAAAATAATTTGGCTGTGCTACAATTTGAAAATATACTTCTATTAAAATACGTTGGTGATTTCATCTGTGACTATGAGAATTTCTCATGATCTTTGACTCATGCAATTTGTAAGACTCTTGTTTAAAATGCATGATATGGATGGCTCTGTTTTGTGGTGGAAAATTCACAGATGATGCTACAAGAGTGCCTCTTGGAGATGAAGGTGGCTATATCAATGCCAGCTTCATTAAGATACCAGTTGGGAAAGAAGAGTTCGTTTACATTGCCTGCCAAGGACCACTGCCTACAACTGTTGGAGACTTCTGGCAGATGATTTGGGAGCAAAAATCCACAGTGATAGCCATGATGACTCAAGAAGTAGAAGGAGAAAAAATCAAATGCCAGCGCTATTGGCCCAACATCCTAGGCAAAACAACAATGGTCAGCAACAGACTTCGACTGGCTCTTGTGAGAATGCAGCAGCTGAAGGGCTTTGTGGTGAGGGCAATGACCCTTGAAGATATTCAGGTAAGTGAATGAAATCTTTCCCTGTTGGAAGGTGTATCTCCTAGTTGTAATCCAAGCCTGGACTCTTTCCGTGATTGCACCAATGTTATTTCTAGATAAAAGACAGTGACTTCCTAGTTCCCATGCAATGGAACTAATGCTAGCTATTTTTTCTTTATGTAATATAAGTTTAAATGTGACTGTCTTCATGAATTCTGCCAGTTTCCTCCAGTATGTCCTCTACTAAAATGGAAATGAAAATGCAGGACTTTTAATGTGATTATCATCCTTGGTGATAGCACAAAATGGCTCAGAAGTTGCATGTTGGAAACTTGTGTTTTTATGGTCAGACCTCTAAGTAGACTCATTGAAACTACTTTTAAAATCTTTAAGTAGAAAATATTCCCTCATAAAGGCAACTTAACATATTTAGGAATACATGGATAATTTTAGCATAAACAGTTGTTATTCAGATCATTCATACTGCAGTTACCTAACCACTGGATCAATCTAGCTTGAATTAGATAAGTGGCAATACCTGAAGTAAAGCTGCTACTGTTTCCTCACTCTGTGTTCTCCCTCACCTTACTACACGCCTGTGCACAGTATCCTAGCTAGATGTGAGTAATGTTTCCCATAGAAATTTAGCTATCTTAAGGAAACAGTGATTTTACTTTTATAGAAACAAAGCATATCAATTCAGTTCTATTGGTGTCATGTAAATGTAGCCTGAGAATTTCTCTCATAATTTTTGATTCATGATTTTTTATTGATTTACACTAGCTTACCTATTACTTAGGCTAGCACAGTTGTTCAATATTCTTCCAGTGATTTATCCACTTAATCCACACATTTTTATAGAACTCAACCCCTTTATAGAGATTTGGCAGTCAACAACACAGACAAAAAATATTTCTAACCTCATGGAGCTTACATTCTGAAGAGGAAATACCAGTATTGATAGTGCTGTGGAAAAAAATAGAGAAGGACAATTGGCTGGGGGAGAATGAGAAGTATGTCGTAATTTTCAACAAGGAGTCAGGGAAGGTATGAGAAAATGGCATTTGAGGAAAAATGTGAATGAGTTGAGTGAGCCATGGAGGGAATATCTGAGGAGAAAACCATTCCAGTCAGAAAGAGCCAGTACAAAAGTCCTGAGACCAAACTGTGCACATTGTATTTAAAGCCACAGAGAATCATTTGGCTTGATGAAAGTGGCCATGGGGAAAGAGAGGAGGAGGTGAGGTCTAAGAGGAAACAGGGCCAGATTAGGTAGTGTTGCAGTGACTCTGACTTTTATCTGAGGTGCATTTGGAATGGGGTCACCAGAAAAGGTTGTTATCAAAATGCAATTTGTTTTTAGGGTTTCCAAAAAGTAGTTTTTATCGATATTTAAAATGTGGATCTAGCAACCTTGTTGATAGAGGCCTTCCATGTTTTTCTTAATAGAGCCATTTAGTTTCTTCCACTTTTCCTTTGATCTGATCCTATAGACAAGCCAAAATTTGAAAGCACAATATAATATTAAGAATTAATTGTGGCCGGGCACAGTGGCTCACGCCTGTAATCTCAACACTTTGGGAGGCCAAGGTGAGTGGATCAGTTGAGGTCAGGAGTTCGAGAGCAGCCTGACCAACATGGTGAAACCCCATCTCTACTAAAAATACAGAAATTAGCTGGGTGTGGCAATGTGCGCCTGTAATCCCAGCTACTATGAGGCAGGAGAATCGCTTGAACCTGGGAGGCGGAGGCTGCAGTGAGCCGAGATTGCACCACTGCACTCCAGCCTGGACAACAGAACGAGACCCTATCTCAAGAAAGAAAAAAAAGAATTAACTGTATGTGAACAATATAACATGTCATGATCCACTTATTCTGTTATACAATTTCAGACCAGAGAGGTGCGCCATATTTCTCATCTGAATTTCACTGCCTGGCCAGACCATGATACACCTTCTCAACCAGATGATCTGCTTACTTTTATCTCCTACATGAGACACATCCACAGATCAGGCCCAATCATTACGCACTGCAGTGCTGGCATTGGACGTTCAGGGACCCTGATTTGCATAGATGTGGTTCTGGGATTAATCAGTCAGGATCTTGATGTGAGTACAAGATATTGGCTGAGTAAGCATTTGTTCAGAAATAATGATGGAGTCTAATTTTTGATAATGTGTTGTGATCTTGGGATATTTTAACTTATGAGTTTATATGACTGCCTTCATTTTCTTCTTATATTATTATAGAAAATTGTATTTTTGTAAACATTGGTATTCAAAACTACATAGACCGTGATCAACAAAAAATAATACTTCAATTTTATACTTGTTTTACTGGGTGTTTTTTAACTGTGTGCTCAGAGGCCTTTTATGCAGTATTTCATTTTACCCTTTATAGTCTTTAGGCTTGTATAAGATAGTATTGTTATCACACTTTAAAGATAGAAATAATTGAAGCACAAAGGAAAGTATTTTTTTAATGAAAAAGCTTGTATTTTTGTATTATCTATGGGTAAAAAATGTATATTTTATTATAAAATTAATGCTAAGTAGTTTCTAAACAATTACTCTACATAAAAAAATTACTATAAGAGTATAATCTTACTTTTGAACTCAAATTAATATAAACCTTATTTAAAATTTTAGAATATCTTACCATAGATAATGTGTAATTAAAATCATAGTGTCTTAAAAAGAATTTTAGTTAAAAGCACTTTACACACTAGCTGTAGTAATTTAAGTAGGATGAAACCAAATAGTCTTTTTTTCCCTCATTTCCAACTGTTCAATGTCAGCTGAAGTCAAAAGATCTTTTTTAGGTTGGAAACACCTTTAGCGGAAGAGCAGTGTGCAGGAAAAATAATTTACCTTTTTAAATTGTAATATTAGAAATTAGTCACACTTCAGGGGGAAGATGATTTCTTTTCTTTGGGGGATTTTCAAATAGATTAACCTTCCCTAATTCCTAGAAAGATAAAAAATAAGAATACCAAGTGATGACAAAGTCCATTCGCCAAGTCATTTTGTCCAGGAGAGTTTCCCAAGACTACCAGAAGGGGAAGAAGAGTGGGATACAGAATTTTACATAAGCCTCCCCTCTGTGATCCTTTTGAGATTCAAATCCAGTTATCCTTTGAATCTAACACATATGTGGTTTCCTCTGACAGTTTGACATCTCTGATTTGGTGCGCTGCATGAGACTACAAAGACACGGAATGGTTCAGACAGAGGTGAGTCATGGCTGGGCCTCCTAATGAGAATTTTTGTAAAGATTCTAATATTTTTTAAGGTTCTTATTAAACCATTTTTCTTTTTTGAGAGTTCCCATGTTAGAGCATAAAACCAAACATTTACTGCAGTGAGGGGCATTTTTTTTTAAATGAGGACTAATTCAGAAAAAAATTAAAATACTTCCAAGCTTTTTAAAATGTTGCCTTTTAATTTAAAAATGCAATATCTGCACTGAAGAGATTACAGAGAATGGGATAGCATGCTGGGGACAGAGTTTGAGAATGGTACAAAATACTATGTAATTAATGGCATTCCTTCCCTATTTCCAACCTGAAAAAGAGATAGAAGGTAACATTCTTGCTACAGAAATTCCCTGAGAAGTAATGGATTCATCAGCATTGACTGGAACACAGCAAGGCAGGCTGGAGTTGCTTAGCTTCAAGAAGACATTCTGTAAGGAGTGTGAATACATGGGTCCATTTATCCTCTTTTGATGATTTTCGTTTCTCTTACCTGAAAGGAAACCATCACCCACTGACACAATGGCGTCCTTCACAGGGAGTGCCGTATTTAGAGTGTCTGTCTTCACTGAAGAGTTCCACAATCCTCTTTGTTTATAATGGAAGAGTGGGGGATGTAGAAGCCGTTTTCAAATATCCATAAATTAACATTTCTCTACCTCTTGAAAAATAGGGAAATTTGCTATCTTTAAAAATTAGCATTTGCCTACTTTCCTTTCATAAACCTTTTTAATTCAACTTGTCTTCTAACTATTAAGCTGATTTATAATCACGCTTTTTAGGTAAGGAAAACATTTTGATTGTTATAAGCAGCACTTTACACCTAGAAAGTTCATTCATTCATTTGTTCATTCAACAGATATTTATTGAGTGCTTACTTTGTATTAGGAACTCTTCTAGGCCGGGCGCGGTGGCTCACGCCTGTAATCCCAGCACTTTGGGAGGCCGAGGCGGGCGGATCACGAGGTCAGGAGATCGAGACCATCCCGGCTAAAACGGTGAAACCCCGTCTCTACTAAAAATACAAAAAATTAGCCGGGCGTAGTGGCGGGCGCCTGTAGTCCCAGCTACTTGGGAGGCTGAGGCAGGAGAATGGCGTGAACCCGGGAGGCGGAGCTTGCAGTGAGCCGAGATCCCGCCACTGCACTCCAGCCTGGGCGACAGAGCGAGACTCCGTCTCAAAAAAAAAAAAAAAAAAAAAAAAGGAACTCTTCTAGGTGCCTGGAGCACATCAGTGAATAAAACAAAGATCCTTGCTAGAATAACAAAGATATTCTTGCAGGATACTGATAAGGATGGAAGACCATAGACATGTTAAACATGTAAATTATATAGGATCCCTGAAAGTGGTAAGTGCTTTAGAGAAAAGAAAAATGAAATAGGTAAAGGGAATCAGTCATGGCAGATTGGGGGTACGATTTTAAACAGGGCGGCACCATTGGCGAAGTAACACTTAAGCAAAGATTTGAAGGCAAAGGAGAGGGTCATGTAGATCTCTGGGGACAAGAGCCTTTCAGGCAGAGGGACCACCTGTGTGGAAGTCCAAGGGTCTTGAGTGTTCAGGTATGGTCACAGCCAATGTGGCGGGCAGGGCACGAGAGAAGGAAGAGTGAAGGAGGAGGTGAGGTTAGAGGGGAGGTGACAGGGTCCAGGACTTTGGCTTTTCTCTGAGTGAAATGGGAGCCTGGAGTGGCAGTGATCTGACTCACATTTTAAAGGACTACTAACCTGCTGTGTTAAAATGACACCAAGTCTGGGGAGGAAGGTGTAGTGTTATAAGCAAAGAGATCAATTAGGTGACAAGCAGGGGTGGCTACAGCTGGAGTGGTAAGTGTGGACAGAGTGAAAGAAACAGGACGTGATGTGAAGTAGATTTGCTAATGGGTTGTATGTGGTGTCAGAGAAAGAGTCAAGGATGAATGTGTGGAAAAGTTAAAATACAGATAAGCAAAAAAGAAACTTAAAAGGCCACTTGTATTCCTACTGTCAGAGAGCTGTTAATGTTTTTAGGAGATGTTCTTATATTCTTTGTCCTAAACACATGTGCACACTCCTTCATGCTCACACATACTATATATAAAATAGCTCACACATGTAGCTATTTTAAATGAGATTCAACTGTGGTTGTTGTTTTATTACTTTTCATTTAATATATTGTGAGTTTTTTATTTGCAGACTCAATTCCTTGCCAAAAAAAGTCAGATCTCTGCACCATCAACTTAATAGAAAATAATTTCACCAAAGGAGTTCATTTTCAAAGAACTTTGATTTTCATGCTTTTGTTCCAAAATATTTAAAGACTTATTTTTTGGTTTGTTTGTTTGTTTGTTTTTTGAGATGGAGTCTCACTCTGTCACCCAGGCTGGAGCACAGTCCGTGATCTCTGCTCACTGCAACCTCCACCTCCCAGGTTCAAGTGATTCTCCTGCCTCACCTTCCTGAGTAGCTGGGATTACAGGTGCCTGCCACCTCACTTTAGTAGAGATGGGATTTCACCATGTTGGCCAGGCTGGTCTTGAACTCCTGGCCTCAAGTGATCCACCTGCCTCGGCCTCTGAGATTACAGGCATGAACCACCATGCCTGGCAAGACAATTATTTTGAATAGCTTCTTAAGCTGTTAATTTTTTGACATTTTAAAACATCAAAATGAGCTCAACAAATCCAGAAGAAATTATGTAGGAAGGTTATTTTTCCACTAAGTATAATCAAAGCACAAAAAATATTGTAGTGGCCCACCAATCAAAGACAACTTCAGTTAGCACTCTAGGATAGTTCCATCCCGCATCCCTCAGGCTTTTTCTTTTCTTGTTTTGCCAATCTGGTTTCTATTATAATTTTTATAATACCACACAATTCTATACCCTGCTTCTTTTTTTTTTTTTTTTTTTTTTTTTTGAGACTGAGTCTCACTCTGTCACCAGGCTGGAGTGCAGTGGCACAATCTCGGCTCACTGCAACCTCCGCCTCCTGTGTCAAGCGATTCTCCTGCCTCAGCCTCCCAAGTAGCTGGGACTACAGGCGCGTGCCACGACGCCCAGCTAATTTTTGTATTTTTAGTAGAGACAGAGTTTCACCATGTTGGCCAGGATGGTCTCGATCTCTTGACCTCGTGATCCACCCGCCTCAGCCTCCTCAAGTGCTGGGATTACAGGTGTGAGCCACCGCGCCCAGCCTACACCCTGTTTCTTGCATTCAACATTCTAACAAAATTTTTCCATATTTTCAAAACTCATCCAACATCACTTCCAATAGTGGTATAGCTATATATATATAATATTTACATTATACATCTAAAGTATTCTATCTCACTTTTTTTGGCCATAGGATCAATATATTTTCTGCTATCAAGTCATCCTTTATGTCCTGACACGTCTTCAAGCAGAAGAAGAGCAAAAACAGCAGCCTCAGCTTCTGAAGTGACATGAAAAGAGCCTCTGGATGCATTTCCATTTCTCTCCTTAACCTCCAGCAGACTCCTGCTCTCTATCCAAAATAAAGATCACAGAGCAGCAAGTTCATACAACATGCATGTTCTCCTCTATCTTAGAGGGGTATTCTTCTTGAAAATAAAAAATATTGAAATGCTGTATTTTTACAGCTACTTTAACCTATGATAATTATTTACAAAATTTTAACACTAACCAAACAATGCAGATCTTAGGGATGATTAAAGGCAGCATTTGATGATAGCAGACATTGTTACAAGGACATGGTGAGTCTATTTTTAATGCACCAATCTTGTTTATAGCAAAAATGTTTTCCAATATTTTAATAAAGTAGTTATTTTATAGGGGATACTTGAAACCAGTATTTAAGCTTTAAATGACAGTAATATTGGCATAGAAAAAAGTAGCAAATGTTTACTGTATCAATTTCTAATGTTTACTATATAGAATTTCCTGTAATATATTTATATACTTTTTCATGAAAATGGAGTTATCAGTTATCTGTTTGTTACTGCATCATCTGTTTGTAATCATTATCTCACTTTGTAAATAAAAACACACCTTAAAACATGAACAAGCCAAAACTGTGTGCAGACAAATTAGACATTTTCAGTGTGTTATTTTTCAACAACACCTAGGCCCCTGGGAAGACAAGGACCTCTAGACACCACTTTCCATCTCCCTAGTTGGCCTCAGTCATGACAGCCATGGAGAGTAGAGGTGTTGTCAGAGATCCTGATAGATCTTCACTAAATACTGATGTGGGGGTCATGTACTGGCTTAACAGTAGCTCAGAAATTCAGTCTTTCTTCCTTCTACCTCTTTGTGAATGTTGCCCACTTATTGAGCCCAATTTATATATAAATCAGAATATTTTCAAGTCCTAGCCACAGTACTCAACTGACCAAGGGCTAATCAAAGAAAACATATCAAACTACCTGGGGGGCGGGGGTATATTTGGTTCTGCAAACAGGAAGGAAAAGAGATTGACTTCAAAGCTGCTTTAGCTTAATGGTTCTCTGTTCTCAGTACTAAATTCATTTCACTAAATTCTAATTCTAACAGTATTTCTCCATTCAGCCACGACACTGTAACTGGATGGATGTTCTTGACCATGAGTTGTCCAGGTTCTTGGCATGTTGAACAAAGAATTGAACAAAATGCTCAGACAAAGCAGTGGAAGATTAAAGCATAGATGTTTTGAAGTGAAAGTACACTCCACAGAGTGGAAGTGGGCTTGAGCACATGGCTCAAGAGCCCTGATTATAATGTTCCTGGGCTTTTATTGAATTACAAGAGCATGGTAACACCCCTAAGTACCCTTTAGAGGCCTCTGATAGGTTACACCCTACACAAATGAAGAATTCAGCCCAGGACCAATCAGAGGCAGGATTCTGCCCAGAACCAATCAGAGGCATCCTGCCTGTGATGTATAAGCAAATGAAAGTTTCAGAATGGACCAATTACAGACATACCCATTTGTGACATAGGGGAGGGGAGGTTCAGAGAGGCATGGGCATTTGGCCCCTCATTACTTGGTCCTGGAAAGGTGGGGTTTTCCTCTTAGTCCAATTACAAGAAGGCCTTGGGCTTCCTGTCTCTAGACTCTTTTCTGCCTCAACACCATTCTAAGACCCAGGAAATTGCTTGGCTCATCCTCATAAGACTGCACCAGTTCTGAGCTAGTTGACTTGAATTTCCAAACTTAAGTGCAGCAATTTGCTGGGACCTATTCCCGAGAATCTGGGGCTATTTGAAGGCAGAAGACAGTATCAATAAACATAAAGCCCCACAGTAACTAGCTAAAGCCCCAGCAGATAAGAGGCTTGGGTCCTACCTCAGAATTGGCTCTGAATATGGCAAGAGAAGCTTTACCATTCCCACTTCAATCAGAAGAGTATTATAGATTGGGTTGTAGCCGGAGATTTCATTTGAAAAAAAGGTTTCTATTGCTTTAAATGACATTTGGAAATCTCTTTTCTGAAAGAGTTGGAATCATGAGGCCTTGTTTTCCTGCACTGGCATGTGAAACTAGGCCAGCAGAGCGCTGGGGGCCAGTACAGCTGGAGGTGATTAGCTCGCATCTGAAGTCAACATAGATGGGAGAGGGTGGAGCTGGAGGTTGCTTTTTCTGGAACGAATGTCACTAGGAAATGGAATGGGGGGAAGAAAATGCAGATTTAGCTTTATGACCTATGAATGGAAACTTCATGATGGTAAATATGTTACTGCCCTCAGCTGGGATCTGGCTGCACCAGCATGGAATGGTATGAGCCACTTGCAAGGGCCAGTCTGGTTAGAAAGCAAGGTGAGGCCACGCAGCTGGGGTGGCACATGGAAACACTCATCTCAAATTAATGAATAAGTACAATTCAGCTCTTAACACAGCTTGTATTAGCTAAGTGCTAGAAAATATAAACTGAAGATATGGAATGGCTTAAACGTAATAGTTTATTTCTAGTTTATCTAACAGTTCTGGAAAAGTGAACAGCTTGGCAATCAGATCTACTTGGCTCAGTTTTTAGCCCGGGCTGATGAAAGTACTGTAATCAACACATAGCTTCCAAGGTTGAGAATCGCCTCCATTCCCCACGAAGGATTGCCTATGGAGAGGTTTTACGAGCCAGGCTTACATGCAAAACACATTGCTGTCACTCATTCCATCAGCAAGAACTGGCCAAATGATTGCCAGTGACAACTCTATGCTATAGAAGGGGAAGCACATATTGTAGTAGAATATATTTACAAAACTGAACTCGTTATTATTCTAAAAGATTGAGTATCTTAGTGTAGTCCTGAGCATTGCAGAATTAGAAACAATTTTATCCCAAAATCAAAACTTCAGTGCATGTCATTAGTAGAGATAATTCTGAATTATTATGGCAAACAGGAAATAAACAGCTGTTGAGAAAAGATTCTTTTACATCAGTGGTCCCAGATAGCCTGCCAGATTTTTTGGTTTAAAAAGGACTAGTTATCTATATGTAATGTGATAATCCAATAAATTTAAAAAACAGCTTAATACACCTATCTTCCAGATACAGACACCTTGATAATGATAGGCTTTCCATTTTACATAATTCAGAAATATTCATAATTCAGAAACATTGTAATGGTAGAGATAAATGTAATAAATTATAGGCTGACCTGCATAATATTTTAAAGCCAATCGAAACTTTACTGTATCAATTTGGGATTATATTTGACTGCAAGTAAGCAAAAGCAACCAAACAGGCCTACAAGTTGTAAATCAATAAGTATGTGAGACATGTCTCAATTTAGAAGTTTATTTTGCCAAGGTGAAGGACATGCCTGGAAGAAATGACATGGAATCACAGAAATAGTCTGTGGTCTGTGCCTTTCTCCAAAGATGAATTTGAGGGTTTCAATATTTAAAGGAGAAAAGTGAGCTGGAGGGGAAAGAAGAGGGGTATGGTCACATCACTGAACCCACATGTTGCAGGAGAAAAGGAGCAGATAGGGAAATAGTTATGTATTTATCTTGCACTCAGCACATAGATAAGGTGAACGTAGAGTAACTACCTGTGGAGATATTTAACCTTTTATCTGTAGCTATCTGCTTAGGAACAAAAGGAAATGCAGTTTCTTGCATGACTCAGCTTTCAGCTTCATTTTTTTCCTTTTGGCGGAGTGAATTGGGGTCCCAAGTTTTTATTTTCCTTTCACAAATTCTAGAGGGCTTAGAGTTTATTTTCTTTCCTTAAGAAACCAAGCTCAGAAGGCAGTTGCTCAGAAGTAGGCAGTTAATTCTATAGCTCAAGAATGTCAACAGCGCTATAAATATCCTTGGCCTTTCCTTGGCCTGGAAGTGGCTGCCACAGCTCCAGCTATTATATCCACATTCCAGAAAAGAAACAAGAATTGGCAAGGAAAATGGGTCAAACAGTACTAGGGCAAGAAAGCAAAATTTCCCAGAAGTCAAGGGCAGACTTTTCCTTCTGTCTTAGCAAAATCTGTCAGATGCCCATCTCTAGCTTCAAGAAAGTTATTTTTAGCTAGATGTGTTGCTGTCTAGCTATGAACAATATCTTGATTCTGTTCATAAGGACAAAGACAGCAATTGATACTGGGTCCCAGCAAGTAGTGTGTGCCTTTCCAATTCTGCCTCAGTTTCCACCATTCCGTATAAGGTAGCGAACACTATGCCAATTTTTCAAGATCTTCATACATATTTAGAAGATTCTGAATTTGTAACTATTGAGGAGATTCACTGATAGGAAGTATTTAAAAGTAGTCTTCAATTTTTACAGGTTTAGAGACATAGTTTTATTCACTCAACCAAACTATAACCATATTCCAAAGGTTGTGCTAAGCAAAACCTCAGGACACTGATAAACCATGTTGCTGATTTATTAGCTTACAAGGAAGCTATAGGTGGGTCTAACAGAATGAGGAAGGCTGGACATTCAGAAGGGGCTCCTCCTGCTGGGGAAAGTACATGTCAAGGCCAATGGGAAGGTTGCCTAGAGACCAACATGTCATTCATTAACTGGGTTAGGCTGAATGATCCTCGACGCAAAGGGTATTTCTGATTACACAAGAAAAAAGTAGGGGATGTAACAAGTATTGATCACTTATGGATTGGACCAGGTGTTTTCACCTTGCCTCGTTTTCAGGTTGTTCAGGATTGAATGTGTTATCAACCTTTTTTAGAGAGGAAACTAAACCCCAGAGGGATTGTCACTTGCCCAAAGTTGCCCAGATACCCAAGGTAAACGTTCAATTTCAGCTCTGACTGACTTCAACCAATAGCTGTGGAGGTCTCCTAGCTATTAAAGTAGAATGCAGGCTGGGCACGGTGGCTCACGCCTGTAACCCCAACAATTTGGGAGGCCCAGGCAGGCGGATCACCTGAGGTCGGGAGTTCGAGACCAGCCTGTCCAACATGGGTGAAACCCCATCTCTACTAAAAAAAAAAAAATACAAAAATTAGCCAGGTGTGGTAGCGGGTGCCTGTAATCCCAGCTACTCGGGAGGCTGACGCTGGAAAATCACTTGAACCTGGAAGGCGGAGGTTGCAGTGAGCTGAGATCACGCCATTGCACTCCAGCCTGGGCAACAAGAGCAAAACTCCAACTCAAAAAAAAAAAAAAAAGTGGAATGCAGGCAGCCCTGACACAGCCTGTGTTCTCTCCACTGCACTCTGCTGCCACGACCATCCAGCTGCCTCTTTCCTCTTAGACATGGACTCATTCTGCTTAACATGATTTCTCTGGCCCCACTTCTGAGTTTCATATAGGTCCCAGCTTTTATTAACTCATGATTCTTTACATCAATTAGAATGCAACTTACTCAAATCGGACTTTTTTCCAGTTATATTTTTTGTTCTAAAGATAACGTGGCCTTCTGAACATCTTCACTATTTCAAGTTCTTGTCAGTAACATGTTTACAAACCATCTATGGAGATGGCCATCTTCTGATGTGTTGTTTCTATCTTAAAGGATGGCCTTTGGTATCCCTCATCCTTTTGGTGTCCCTCATCCTTGGAACGTCCTAACTGTTGTAAATACTGACCATATTGTTAAGCTTTCAGAACAGCATTAAATTTTACCATTTTGTTTTAGGTGTCTATGTGGAGAAACAATTTAGAAATTCATTTTTTGTGGATTCTTTAAAACTCATGGAGCCCGGGTACGATGGCTCACGCCTGTAATCCCAGCACTTTGGGAGGCCAAGGCAGGCGGATCACTTGAGGTCAGGAGTTCAAGACCAGGCTGGCCAATATGGTGAAACCCTATGTCTACTAAAACTACAAAAATTAGCCAGGCGTGGTGGCACGTGACTGTAGTTCTAGCTACTGGGGAGGCTGAGGCAGGAGAAGAATTGCTTGAACCTGGGAGGTGGAGGTTGCGGTAAGCTGAGATCGCGCCACTGCACTCCAGCCTGGATGACAGAGCAAGACTTCATCTCAAAAAAAAAACAAAAAACAAACAAAAAAAAACCTCACGGTAATACTCATTTTAGAGCTGGAAATCTCTGTTACTTGCAACTCTCCTAACTGTGTTCATTGCAGTGATCTATTCCCCTACTAGACTATAAACTTTGTGAGGGCAGGAGCCATGTCCCATGTGCCTGAACATAGCACAGACTAGCTTCTCATTATGTAAACATTTATCATATGGATAAAGGGGACTCTCCGAATAGTAAACCAACAGTTGAGAATTAACAAGTCACAAATCTGCATAGTTCTTTTCCATATAAAAAGTGCCGTGGCTCTAAGACCTAATGGGGCTCCTTCTGTACTACCACAAAGGCTTTCTGAATTGGTGGAAAATACAATAATCATTGTCATTGCATTAACCCACAAGTTATTGGGAATACTTACAAAATAACATTATAAACATTAAATCTCAAAACACTTTCTCACACATTTCAAAACTTACAAATAAGAATAGACACAAAATGGAACCAGAGTCCCAACAAAAACACATTATATAGGAAGTTATGTGATAAGGGTAGCATTTCAAATCAGTAGATAAAAGAATAATGATTCAATATATGATGTTTGGATAATTAACTATAAAAAAATTAGATTATTATGCCATACAGGAAAAATTCAAAATGGAATAAGTATGTATGTATTTGCTCCATCACAGTATTAGAAAAACATATGGGAAAATATTTTTAATAATTTCTAGTAGAGGACAGATTTACCTACTGCCAGGCATCATGTATTGCATGGGAAGACAAGAAGTACACACAGCAGCTAGTAAATATGTTGTGTAAGCCCCCAGAAAGAACTCCCTGAAAAGGGGCCAAATACATTCTCAAAAAAAGATTCTATCACAATTCACAATCCACACAAATATATAAATATGCTAACATTTGGCAGAGATCAGAGCAAAAAAAAAACATTCTTAATAAGATTAATAAGCTGAATATATTAAAAAAATAAAACTCTGTATTGCAAAAGACATAGAGTAACAAAAGATAAACGAGTAGGTAAAATGTTGACAAAACATAGGACACATTGTCACTTATCATTATGGTTCAAAATCTATACATCAAAAAGGAAAAGATACAATAGAAAAGCAGGCAAAGGACATAAGTTGCCAAGTGATTGTGAAAAATGCTTTAGTTCATTCAGTTTTTAAATGAAATTTTGTTTTTTGTTTTTTGTTTTTTTTTGAGATGGAGTTTCGCTCTGTTGCCCAGGCTGGAGTGCAGTGGCATGATCTCGGCTCACTGCAACCTCCGCCTCCTGGGTTCACGCCATTCTCCTGCCTCAGCCTCCAGAGTAGCTGGGACTACAGGCGCCCGCCACCACACCAGGCTAATTTCTTGTATTTTTAGTAGAGACAGGATTTCACCGTGTTAGCCAGGATGGTCTCGATCTCCTGACCTCGTGATCCACCCGCCTCGGCCTCCCAAAGTGCTGGGATTACAGGCGTGAGCCACCGCGCCCAGCCTAAATGAAATTTTAAATGAGATGTTTTAACCAATCAAAATTGATCATTCATTTGACTGGTGAGACTGTGGGAAACCAGGCCCTCTCAGGCACTGCTGTACAACGTTGCCAGATAGCAATCTGTCATACATTTCGGTAAGCAATTGGCTTGGAAATTCAAGTCACAGGAAGTGAGCCTACAGAAATACTTGCACCTAAAGGCAAAAGTGTTTGTAACAGCACTGTAATACTGTTAAGCTGAAAGCTATCTAAGTGTCCATGAATAAGGAGTGGTTAAATAAATTACAGTCCTTCCACACAATAGAATACTTCCACATCACTACTATACTAAAGAATGAGGTAGGTCAACACAGACTGACACTCAAAGATGTTCCATAATGTGTCATCAAGTGACTTACAAAACAATATATGGAATGATCTCAAGGTTCTTAAAATGATACAGTTTACATACACAGCTTAGAAGGATACACATGGGTCTTTCTTTTTTTTTTTGAGTCAGAGTCTTACTCTGTCACCCAGGCTGGAGCGCAGTGGCGTGATCTCAGCTCACTGCAACCTCTGCCTCCTGGGTTCAAGTGATTCTTCTGCCACAGCCTCCCAAGTAGCTGGGATTACAGGTGCATGCCACCATGACTGGCTAATTTTTGTATTTTTAGTAGAGATGGGGTTTCACCATGTTGGCCAGACTGGTCTTGAACTCCTGACCTCAGGTGATCTGCCCACCTCAGCCTCCCAAAGTGCTGGGATTACAGGCATGAGCCACTGTGCCCAACCATGTGTCAATCTTTAGAAAGTGAAAATACAGGGCATTCCATTTTTAACCGTATGTGTGTTTTAAATTCTTTCCAAGCTTGTGTTACATCTATAATCAAAATGATTTTCAATTTCTTAAAAATAATAATCATTTGAGAAAACTGCCCCATTTATTATAAGAGCTATTTGTTCTCCTCTCAGTGCACCTGAGGACCTGCCCAGAGTCAAGAAGTCACATAGGTCTGCGTCACCCTGCAGTATGAGGTGACATCTCCTCTACTTAGAGTTCTAACTCTTGTTCAATTAAAATCCACAACGTGGCTGGGCGCAGTGGCTCATGCCTGTAATCCCAGCACTTTGGGAGGCTGAGGCGGGCAGATCACTTGAGACCAGGAGTTCGAAACCAGACTGGCCAACATGGTGAAACCCCATCTCTACTAAAATACAAAATATTAGCCAGGCATGGTGGCACACACCTGTGATCCCAGCTACTTGGGAGGCTGAGGCAAGGGAATCACTTGAACCCAGGAGGCGGAGGTTGTGGTGAGCCGAGATTGTGCCACTGCACTCCAGCCTGGGCAACAGAGCAAGACTCTGTCTCAAAAAAAAAAAATCCACAACATAAGGATAAGTTCCCCTAATGAAGGATTTTACCTACTGCCAGGTACTATTTGCTGCATGGGAAGACAAGAACATACAAGGCAGCTCATTGATACGTTATGTTAACCCCCAGAAGAAACTCCCTGAAATGGGAATCTCCAAAAGTGATCCCATCACAATTCACAATCCACATGAAAATATAAATATTCTAACATTGAACACTTAAATATTCACACTGGCCCTACCAACAAGATTCATGTGTCAGCTGCACACTGTCTTTACTGGCCACTGAAAAAGAAGGGGGCCAGTCCAGCCAGCTAGTCCCTGCTATTCACATGAAGTGATGTGGCCAACTGGCTCGAGAGCCCTGTGGCAATCCATTGGCCCTGGTGGCCCAGGAGTGATGGCACCTTCTTCATTCACCTCCAAGAAGGCATTGGTCTCTCTGGAAGAAGTCGATTTCCTCGTATGGCAGACTTCTGTGCAACCTGAGTTCTTTTTTCCATGTTTGTTCTTCAATCTCCTCTTGTACGTCTGATATGCTAGGTGTTAAAACATACAAGTATTAACAATCACTTTAACAAAGAGTCTAATTTGGTGACACTGTACACTTGTCAATCCTTCAGGTGTTTGTTTCAGTGGCATCATGTATGTATAAACACCCAGGGAAAAGAAGGGGGAAAGAGAGAAAGCTATAGAACAGAAGGATTCAGTGTATCAGAATGGCTCTTTTGTCTGGATGAACCATTTGTGATTGAGGCTCATTCATCAGGTTGCTGACAGCTTACACACTCATATATTCATTCATTCATTCATTCATTCATTCACTCATTCAGCTAGTCAGCTGGCAAATACTGCGAGTGCTTACTAGAAGTAGGACACTCTCCTGGGTTCTGGGCTAGAGCTGGGAATGAGCCAGAAATGATGCTTGCTTCAGTCTCTCCATGAGAAGGAAAGAAAACTTGGGTCTGAGACCAAGAGTTTGACTCTAATAGGATTTATCTTATCTGTTGGGGAAATTAAGCCCCAGGTATTCCTGATATTGTTATATTGATTGTTATATCTGTAATCAGTATATAATAATAACAATCAGCAATCAGTATATAATCAGTTCTATCAGTAATCATTGAGTCTTACTCAGACCCAATTCCCTAACAGCAGCAAAAATTTACCATGGCCCAAGATTAAAATATATATGTGTATGTGAACATATATATTTTTTTTTTTCTTTTTCGACTTTTAGATCCATGTGCATGTTTGTTTCCTGGGTATATTGTGTGATGCTGAAGTTTGGGAAACAAATGATCTTATCACGCAGGTAGTGAGCACAGTACCCAACAGTTTGTTTTTCAACCTTCGCCCCCTCCCTCCCTCTTCTAGTAGTCCCCAGTTTCTATTATTGCCATCTTTATGTCCATGAGCACCCAATGTTTAGCTCCCACTTGTAAGTGAGGTATTTGGTTTTCTGTTCTTGCATTATATATATTTTTAAATTTACCCTCTGTGAACAAACATAATAAAAGACTCCAAAGTAATGTATATTTGGCTGCAATCACATGTGCATACACATATATATTTCAATATTTGTATATGTGTAATATTTAATATTTGAAAAACATTTCACAGCCATTCAGCACAAGTCTTAGTCACAGAAACATTGAAATAACTTGGCATTTGGGAGACCTCAAGGCTTTTAATGAGACCTAACAAATCAACGCTTAAGTGCAGCAAATGTCACTTTGGAGCTCAATGATTGCTCATAGAGATCTTGTCTTAACAAGTTACGAAGTCTAAGTTCTGATAGTGGATTCACTTTTGTGAAGTATATTTGTTTATAATTATAAGCTCATTTTCAGATGGCTTTTTATATTTTTCTGTGAAACTCCCACTTGTGCGCCAAACTATCCTGTCTATGTGCCTTATCGTCCCCAGAAATGTCAGGCTTTCAAAAAGTGTATCACAGGGGCAGCACATGCAAGTTTGGATTGAAAAAAAAGTTGGTAAGTTGGGGTGAACAATTTCCCGTCAGTTATTTCCTACCCAATGGGTGTTCACCCACCTGCAACAATAAGAAATCCATCTATCAGCTGGAAGAGTCCATAGGCCAGTGGGAAACTCAACATCTGGACCAAGTGCTCAGCAGTGAAAGATAACTGGAGCATGGTGATGCACATCTGAATATTCTGAGCTCCAGTTTCTAAGGAAATTGTCCTGCACCTACCAAAAAGAAAATGTTTCAAGAGTAACGCACTAGCAATAAGAACTATTCTAATATTTTCTCATATGCATCATAACAATTAGAAGCTATGACCTCAGGCCACTGAAAATGTGTACTCATTCCATAGTTATTTGCTGAGTGCCTATTCTGCAGGTGGTCTTCTGAGAGGCACGGTGGAGTGAGGCTTTGCAAACCCTGCCCTAGGCATCTGAGTAAAAAGACAAGATAAACACACAGGAGAGGTTCAGCAACAACACAAGACAAAGTATGGCCAAAGGCCACGCAGATGTAGAAATTTAGAAAATGGCAGAAGGGGTGAGAGAAGGCTTCACAGAGGAGTGGGATTTAAGGATGGAAAAAAATAGAAGAAGCTTTTGATGAGGGGGAAATATTATAAAAATTAAAGTTCCAGGGAGAGGTGTGAGTGTGGCCTGTTCAGCAGGCATTGCATATACTGTAAGCCAATCTGCAGAGAGGAGAGGACTGGAGGAGACAAGAATGGAAAGTTGAGTTAGAGATATGATGCAGGACATGGTGGCTCATGCCTGGAATCCCAGCACTGAGAGGCAGAAGCGGGAAGATTGCTTGAGCCAGGAATTCAAGACCACCCTGGGCAACAGAGTAAGACCCTGTCTCTACAAAAAGAAAAACGTATATATATTTTTGAAAGACATATGAAACAATATAAACTAACCAACACTTAAAAACAAATAAACAAGGCCAGGCACAGTGGCTCACGCCTGTAATCTCAGCACTTTGAGAGACCAAGGTGGGTGGATCACCTGAGGTCAGGAGTTCGAGACCAGCCTGGCCAACATGGTGAAACCCTGTCCCTACCAAAAATACAAAAATTAGCCTGGCGTGGTGGCACACGCTCCTGTAATCCCAGCTACTCGGGAGGCTGAGGCACGAGAATCACTTGAATCCAGGAGGCAGAGGTTGCACTCCAGCCTGGGCAACGAGGTCTCAATAAATAAATAAATAAATAAATAAATAAATAAATAAAAACACAAAAACCCTGAATAAAGACCAAATTCCTAAAATGATTATCTTTGGTGAAAGAGTTTGGTAATAATTTTTCTTTTTGCTTTCTACTTTTCTATACTTTATTGGTTTTCTGGTTGCATAAAATGAAGTAAACCTCATTTGAAAAGACAAAGGAGGGAATAGAGGGAAGACCTGGGCAGGATGTTGAGGGCTGAGTTAAGCAGTTTCACGTCTCCAGTTTATAAAGGGAGCCTGCAGTGTTTTATATGTGGAAGTGAGGAGATAAAAGAGGTGTTTCAGAAAACAAACAAGCACCTCTGTGCAAGCTGGACTGGAATGGGGAAGTAACAAGGGTGTGTAATGAGGGGGTGAAAATGCTGTCAATGGTACAGGGCAAGCTCTGTGTTCATACGTTATTTCTACTTATTCTATTGCTTGCTACACTTGTCTCAAACCACCCTCACTTCTTTGAGACTTTTGTCAAAAACTCGATATGATTAAGCTACAAAGCTGGAACTCACACCTGCACCATTCATGAGCCAAATCTCAGTCCTGGGCTTTGTCAGGCTATCAGGTATGAAAAAGATGGGATTGTGGACTACATCTTGCCATAGGAGTACTTTCTGTCCAGAGCCAATTGCATTTCAACCACTCAACAGACTGTGTTCCTAATTGTTAAATTTGGAAACAAACCCAGGTCCAAATCCTAACTCCACAATTTTCTAGCTCTATGAACTTGGTCAAGTCACTTAATTTCTCTGAAGGGTCTGCTCATCAGTAGAATGAGGGTAGTGATAGGATCTACTTCTCAAGCTTGTAGTAAGAAGTAAATGAGATAGATGGGGTAAAGCTTTACCGGGCGCTTAGTACAACCCTAAATGTTCCCCAAGTGGATTAGAAGTAGCATAAAGCCAATTAAAAATTCCCAACTTTCACCTTTGGAATTCAACTGCATAGTTTACTCTTCTTTAGTAATTTTTTTCTGCTTTTAAAAGTAGTACATACTTATTGAAAAGCTTCAAAAATATACCAAGGAAATACTAAAGAACTAAAATTATCCTTAATTTCGCTACTCAAAATTAAACATTGTTACCATATGGTGTATTTCTTCCAGTATATTTTGATGCATAGAATTCTTTTTGCTTTCTTCTACGAAGTGGGAATCAAATCATGTCGTTTTCTATTCTTTTTTAACTTAAATTTATCTCTTCCTATCAATTTGGCCTTTGCTTTAATTTACATAAAGAATTACCACAATATTTTCCATGAATTGCCATGAATGACCCTCTTTTATGCTTAGTTATCCTGTCGATTCCACTATGTAAGTCAAAACTCTTCATGTCTCCTGACACAGGCAGCAAAGCCTACCAGTGGCAGTGTGTTAAATTTACCTTCCTCAAAAAAGTTTATGGATAGTTTAACTATACCTTTGCCAAGACTGGTGGGTAAAAAGTGCCAGCAGAAAACCCGTGACATGGCCAATCAAAGGAAAGATGAAACTGATGGTCAGAAGGGTGATGTCTGAATTCCAAGATCCTTTCGCCAGGACCACACCAGCAACTGCGACCACCAGAAGGAGGACCCCACCAACAACGGCCCCAATCTGAAGCAAACAATAAAATAAGTGAATATAAACTCAGGGTTTTTTGCTCTATGATACAAAGTCCATCAAGGTTGTAAAATGCTTGGGATCTAGAAATTTTAGAACAAAGAAGGGACTTAGAGATGACTAAATACAATTTCATTTAGTAGAGGAGAAATCTGAGTTCCAAAGTGGTCAAGTAACTTGCCTATGCTAGAAATTGGTGGAGTTTGACACAAATCTAAGTCTCGCTTTAGCATATCTACCTTTCTCTTCAAGTAGAAGATTTTGCCAAAAGGATTGGGTAGTAGAGTTCTATTGTGGGTAGAACAAAAGTGTAAAATGAATGGAATCTGACAATGAGCTTCCAACACCCCTGCACACACCTCTATGACCCTCTGCTTGTGACCTCCAGTCTGACGTCTGCCCTGCCTGACCATCTGCCTCCCCTCCCACCGCCCCTTCAACCACCAGCAGCTGCCTGCTGCTTTGATCCCTGTCCTTCTCCCCTCCAAATAAAATTTACCCATTCTTCATTGGACAATCTGAGCTAATACTCATGATCACATGAGAAATACTGATGGAGACCTCTATCCTCTCCCAAATGGATACTGTCCTTACTTTTGTTGTTTAACAAGAACAGAAACAAAAGCCAACAATAACAAAATTTTGAATAGTTTGAGATTTAGATAAAATAGGAAGAAAGCATAACCTAGGGTATTTTGGGAAAATCAGGATCTTGGCAAGCTCCTGTTCATATCATGTAGACAGTAAACTGTGTACCTAGTTACAGTGTCAACCTTGATTTGAAATGATTCAGGATGTGAAGGAGGATGGTCGTAGGAAACTAGAGAAGACAACAAACAAACAGAATGACCCAATATACCATAAATGTGTTCTGGGGGTCATTTTTACTGTTCAAATACAGAGACAGACTAGACCCCTGCCTAAGAAAAAGATGCTAAGACAAGAAAGCCTCTTGGTCAGGCATGGTGGCTCATGTCTGTAATCCCAGAACTTTGGGAGGCAGAGGTGGGCGGATCACCTGAGGTCAGGAGTTCAAGACCATCCAGCCAACATGGCAAAATCCTGTCTCTACTAAAAAATACAAAAATTAGCCAGGCGTGGTGACACATGCCTGTAATCCCAGCTACTCAAGAGGCTGAGGCAGGAGAATTACTTGAACCCAGGAGGTGGAGGTTGCAGTGAGCCAAGATTGCGCCACTGCACTCCAGCCTGGGTGACAGAGCAAGACTCCGTTTAAAAAAAAAATGAAAGAAAGAAAGCCTCTGAATGTAACATCCCCTCTTCCTCTCTCTACCAAAGATTTCAAAGTTTAATATCCACCAAGAGCAAATGGGGAACACTTAAGTTTGTTCAGAAAATGTGTCAGATCTAAAATTAAAATGGAACTAAGGCCTCTGAATGTAACATCCCCTCTTCCTCTCTCTACCAAAGATTTCAAAGTTTAATATCCACCAAGAGCAAATGGGGAACACTTAAGTTTGTTCAGAAAATGTGTCAGATCTAAAATTAAAATGGAACTAAGAACAGGGAATGAAGATATACTAAAATAATGATTACATTAGCCTAGTTTTTTTTTTTTACTAAGGTAGTCTAGAATATTTATGCATATTATTAAATGTTTTGCCATAAATCCTATGAAATACCCAAAAGAAAAGAGTTTTAAATTTGCTCGTTACAGAAAATAAAACTGACATGTAAAAAAATGTATCTGGTTTCTCCATTGACACTGATGGACTGATAGAGGAGCTGGAAAACTCCAAAAGCATTATTTTTGTTATTGTTGTTAAATGCCCTTTTAAGAAAAATAATCAAAGATAGAGTACTTGAAAAGCAAGAAGTTTCCATGATCATTTCCCTCCTCTTGTTTTGTAAACAAAATCATAACTACCACACTGGAAATTTTCTCCTACTGAAATAACAATAATAAATGTGGAAAAGGGGCCAGGCACAGTGGCTCATGCCTGTGATCCCAACACTTTGGGAGGCCAAGGCCAGAGGATCCCTTGAGGCCAGGAGTTGCAAACCAGCCTGGGTAACATAGCAAGACCCTGTCTCTAAAAAAAAAATCTTTTTATTAGCAGGGCAGGATGGTGCATGCCTGTAGTGCTAGCTACCTCAGAGCTTGAGATGGGAGCATCATTTGAGCCTAGGAGATCAAGGTTGCAGTGAGCTATGATCGTGTCATTGCACTCCAGCCTGAGTGACAGAGCGAGACCCTATCTCAAAAACTTAATTAATTTTTAAAAATAAATGTGGAAAAGATGGGACTTTATTCCATGAGTACAGCTAAAAAAGGAGAGTGAAAATCAGGTGTGCACTATTGATGTTAAAGTCATCCATATGCAATACAAATGTACTATACTAAGCCATCCTCCAGCTCTCTGTGCCCAGCTGATTTTCTGCTTGGCAAGCCCTCTCCTCTCATTCTCCATCGCACTGAAGGAATGGTGGGAATGGTTTGGCCTTGTGCATAACTGGGAAAACAGTGTCCATTAGCACAGGCATATAGAGTGGCAATGTTCTGTGAGGTAGAGCCAAACGGCAAAAGCTTAAACCAAGCCAAACCATAAACCAGAAAACAAAATTAACTGAGATTTACTACATGAAACTCTAAATAACCCCAAATGTTTACTTCTTTATAAATGTAAAATATAACTGAAACATTTTTAAAATCTTCATGAAAGCCACACATATTACAACCTTCTATCTGCTAAAGTGATACATAATCAGAAAAAAAATGGAAAGCACCCTAGGAGACTCACACCATTGTTAAGAATGCCTCCTCTTTACGTTTTGTTGTTTTGTTTCATTTTTTAGAGATGGGGTCTCACTCTGTGATCCAGGCTCCAGTGCAATGGCATGATAATGGCTCACTGTAGCCTCAACCTCCTGGCCTCAAGCAATCCTCCCACCTCAGCCTGCCAAAGTTCTGGGATTACAGATGTGAGCCACTGCACCTGGCCTCTTGAATTATTTTTAAAAGCCATTTAACAAAGACATTTGCTTGTTTCTCCAGCAGACAAAGGGCAGGACTGCAAAGACAAGAGGAGGTAGAAAGTTCTAGTCACCATCATTCCATAGCTAGACTCCTCAGTGCTTCCTGGATGATTTCATTTAAACAGTCTTATTCATGTAGTCAGCAGCCCTTGCTCATGTGTACAAACAACAGCTTTGGCCGTGACCCCAGGAATGCTTCTGCAAGACAGCCCTTCCTCCTACTCTTCCAAGAAACCAGCCATATTACTAAACACTGGGGTTCCCTTTCATGCTCACTTGAACAGCTTCTGCCTCAAGAGCACCTGTGTGAAGCCTTGTTTATGGATGGGCCTGGGCTCTTCTGTCCACACACAGGCTTTAGCTTTCCTGACACTAAATCAATAGTTGCTTATTTTCCAGGGCGTCATAAGCCTCAGGGTACAGAACTATGGGAGTGGCAAAGCAAGGCTTACAGGGTGGAGGAAATATGATCCCTGGATCCAAAACCACAGGATGTGTAAGAAGAATTTCTGGGTGTGGGGCCGTACTCAACAAGCTCACTTGTCCCAGCCACTGCTCACTTCTGTCTTTCAGGCCCCTGAGTCTGAGGACGTGCCAACAGTGGCCATGAAGTCACTCACCTTGAGAATGATTTTGGATTGTTTTGGCCATCTGTAATTCACATAGACACCAAAGGCCACAGGAATGGTCAGGCACACAAGGGTAATTCCTAAAGAGAAGAAAAATCCATGAGAGGGTTTTCCCTCTCACCCTGACTGCACAGTACTTCCCAACAACTTCTATTTCAATTAGGTAACAGCTTTAAACTGACATTTTCCCATGCCACTTCCCAAGTCTGGATAAATGCCTACAATATTGGCTCCAAAGTTATATAAGCTGCTCATAACATTTTGCGTCTTGTGAGTGCCTTTCAGAACATATTATCAAAGCAGAATATATTAAATAACTTACTGATCAGAAAAAAAGTTGCACATAAAATCATGGTTTCTAAATTAAGGTTTCCCTCAAATTTTACAGATTCAGTGGGCTCCCGCTATTGTGAGGAAGTGGGTTCATTCATGGTTTTGAACTATGGGCCATGGGTTGTAAGCCTTCAAGGTGTTTACCTGAGACACCAGATTGACACTGAGAGTCTTAAGAATCATAGTGTTGGCCAGGCACGGTGGCTTACACCTGTAATCCTAGCACTTTGGGAGGCCAAGGTGGGTGGACTGCCTGAGCTCAGGAGTTTGAGACCAGCCTGGGCAACACGGTGAAACCCTGTCTCTCCTAAAATACCAAAAAAATTAGCCGGGTGTGGTGGCCTGCACCTGTAGTACCAGCTACTCGGAAGGCTGAGGCAGGAGAAGGCAGAAGTTGCAGTGAGCCGAGATTGCACGACTGCACTCCAGCCTGAGTGACAGAGCAAAACTCTGTCTCAAAAAAAAAAAACAAAAAAACATAGTGCCTATCACTTTTTCAAAAACTGACCACACTAGAAAAGGCAGATCATTTCACCACATTTCTCTTCTAAGCTTGCTAAACCCACAGAGATCTTTAGGAAAATGGCAGACTTTCATGAGAAATAATATTCAGAAGAGGAGATAATGAAAGAGATATGGGTGAGACTGTGACATGTAGATGAGTTTTCATAATCAGTAAGAATTATTTACATTCAACCTCCAAGAAAAAGTCAAGGTTCGCAGGCAATGTGAAAGGTGAAGTCACAGGAAGGTCTAATTAGAGCCACTAGATCCAGTTAAACCTTGGAGTATAAAGAGTCCAATTGCTTTATAGTCTAATTACATAAGGGTTTGATTCCTGCTTTTTCAAAGTAAATTATCTGGCTTTCTTTTTTTTTCAAAAATGCACTCTTATAGGGATGAAAGTTTGCACTTTGTAGTCAGATTCCCGGGTTAGAACTCCAGTTCCGTACTTACCAGCTGCATAATCTTGATCAAGTTACTAAACCTCTTGAAGCCTGAAGACCTAGGAGACTGAACTGGTAACAGAATCTATACTGTAGGGTTCTTTAAGGGATTAAATTAAGTACTACCAAAAAAATCCCTGCATAAAGAGTTATATAATTAAGAACAGCTATTATTAGTATCATCACCATTACTGTTAGTCCTCCATTTCCCAGGCCCATACAGACCTATGTTCTGATAAGGAATGGTGAGATTCTGCTGAAGACTCCAGGACCAGGTGTAGAGATAAATGCAGAGTGGCATCATTCCCAGGGCGGCCACGGTGGAACAGGTTGTCATACTGATGCTGAAAGTAAAATTAATACAATGCTTAGGAGGGAGCATTGGACATGAAGAATTTAGTCTTTACCAAAAGCAACTCCTAGGACACAATTTCCTAGAGATTACATGGACTAAGCTCCTTGGAGCTCATTTCTCTCCCGTTGTTTAACAAACGATGGCTATATTTCTGGTCTACAAAGAGATTTCCAGTAGTTCTTGTCATCCATCAATTACCTCATATTTATTTTACTATCTACTTGCCTTAAAATTCTGCTAGGCACTATAGAATTATTTTCTTATCTAGTTCTTTTTTATTGAAGTATAATCCACAAGCCATAAAATTCATCATTTTAAATTATACAATTCAGCAGTTTTTAGTATAGTCACAACATTATGCAATAATAGCACCATTTCCAGGATAGTTTCATCACCCCAGAAAGAAACCCCATCCCCATTAGCAGTCACTCCCCAATCCCTCCTTCCCCTAGCCCTTAGCAAGCACAAATCTACTTTCCGTCTTTATAGGATTACCTGTTCTGGACATTTCATATCAACAGAATCATACATGCAGCCTTTTTTCTGTGTCTAGCTTCTTTCCCTTAGCATAACATTTTCGACGTTTGATAATAGTTTGGCTGTTTGTCCTCTCCAACTCTCATGTTGAAATTTGATTCCCAACGTTGGAGGCGGGGGCAAGTGGGAAATATTTCGGTCACAGGGGCAGATCCCTCATGAACAGGCTGGTGCCATTCTCGTGGGATTCACTGAGTTCTCACTCAGTTCTTATGAGCTCTAGTTGTTAAAAAGAGTCTGACACCTCCCTCCCCTCTCTTACCATGTGATGCCTGCTCCTCTTCCCCTTCCACCATGGGTGGGGTCTTCATGAGGCCCTCACCAGATGCAGATGCTGGCACTTTGCTTCTTGTGTACAGCCTGCAGACCCTCGAGCCAAATAAACCTGTTTTATTTAGAAATTACCTACCCTCAGGTATTCCTTCATGGCAACTCACATGGGCTAAGACAAGGTTTATCCATGTTTTAACATATATCACAGCTTCATTCTTTTTATGTCCTTATTCTATTAATATAGTATATCACATTGATTTTTCTGTATATTGAATCAACCTTGCATTTTGAAATAAATCATATTTGGTCATGGTGTATAATCCTTTATGTTGCTAGATTCAGTGTGATAGTATTTTTATTGAAAATTTTTGCATGTATATTCATAAGAACTATTGATCTGCAGTTTTCTTTTCTTGTGATATCTAGTTCTGGTACCAAGGGGATTGGAAGTGTATTAGGCTGTTTGCATGGCCATAAAGAAATACCTGAGGCTGGGTAATTTATAAAGGAGATTCATAGTTCTGCAGGCTGTACAAGCATGGTTCCAGCATGTGCTCCTGGTAAGGACCTCAGGAAGTTCGCAATCATGGTAGAAGGCAAAGGGGAAGGGGGAGCAGGTATCTCACATGGCCAGAGAGGGAGCAAGGGAGAGTGAGAAAGGGGAGGTCCCAGACTTTTAAACAACCAGATCTCATGTGAACTAACTAAGCAAGAACTCACTTATCACCAAGGAGATGGCATTAACCATTCATGAGAGATCCACCCCATGATCCAATAGCCTCCCACCAGGCCCCACCTCCAATACTGGAATCACATTTCAACATGAGATGTGGAGAGGACAAACACCCAAACCACATCAGCAAGTTAGAATGCCACAAAGCTGACTGAACGCCTGCCCAGTATGAAGTGTTAATAAATATCTGTCAGGAAGAAGTCACGCAAACACCACATGCCATAAGCTCCCCATTGGATAGGGCAGTGACCCCCACAGTCGCTGACCTGCAGACAGAGCAAGTTGGTTAGGGCAAGGGAAGGTACAGAACCACAGAGAAAGGGAACTGATGTGAGATGCTAGACTGAATTAAGAATTCTGTTCCAATCCTGATATCGTGTGATCCTATGATTAGAAACTGTGATTGGGCCAAGCATGGTGGCTCATGCCTGTAATCCCAGCACTTTGGGAGGCCAAGGCGGGCAGATGACCTGAGGTCAGAAGTTCGAGACCAGCCTGGCCAACATGGTGAAACCCTGTCTCTACTAACAATACAAAAATTAGCTGGGTGTGGTGGCAGGTGCCTGTAATCCCAGCTACTTGGTAGGCTAAGGCAGGAGAATCACTTGGACCCAGGAGGCGGAGGTTGCAGTGAGCCACGATCATGCCACTGCACTCCAGCCTGGGCAACAAAGTGAAACTCCATCTCAAAAAAAAAGAAAGACAGAAAGACGAAAAGACACAAGAAAAGAAGAAAAGAAAGAAAAGGAGAAGAAAGAAAGAAAGAAAGAGAGAGAGAGAGAGAAAGAAAAGAAAAGAAAAGGAAGGGACTGAGATTTGAGATTGAAGTAGAGTGATGAGTTAGAGTACAAAGTAAGATTTCTAGGCTTCAAAATGATGGTGTGATATACAAAAAAGCTGAGTCACTTAGCATCAGTTAGAGGGGTTGTGTTAAGTAAGGTGATAGTGGGACATCCAGTCTTTGGTGAACAAACCTGGAAAGATTTCTAAAGACAATCAGTCTGTTTATCTGTGTCATTACTGGGGTTGTCTCTGGCCACCTTGGAAAGTGAAATGTGGGTTTGTGAGCCGGACGAACCAAACCAAAACCAACAGCCATGCTACATAGCTTTACCAGGAAAACAACTGAGACCATCAGAAGGAAGTTGTGGTCTTTGTTCAACAAATCCAGAATGATTTCTACTGGAAAACTGGTTTGTTTATCTCTGTTATTATTGAGGTTAATTGTTTCTAAGTCAAAAGGCTAACACATTTTAAGCGCAATGGTTCTTAAGAACTTTTAAGTACATAATGTCTGTGACAGAGGGGGAAGAGTACTTGGTTTGAAGTCCTCAAAAACTGTGTATCGTGATTACTGCTATGGTCTGAATGTGTCCTCCAAAATTCATAGGTTGGAAATCAAATCCCTAAGACAACAGTATTGAGAGGTGGAGCTTTCTGGGAGGTGTTTAGGTCACAATGAATCCACCTTCATGAATGAATTAATGCTATTTTAAGAGGACTCCACCAAGGAAGTTTGTTCCTTTTTGCCCTTCTCTCTTCCACCACGTGAGGAGCAAGAAGGACCTCACCAGACAATAGATGCCAGCACCTTCATCTTAGACTTCCCAGCCTCCAGAATGTAAGGGAATAATTTCTCTTCTCTATACATTAACCAGTCTCAGGTATCCTGTACAGCAGCACAAAATGGACTAAGACAATTACTATATTGTTATTACATTATATGAACTAAGTTACTGCTTCACACATTTGTAATTTGTTGCAGATTTTTTGGGGTTTTGTTTTGTTTTGTTTTTTGAAATGGAGTCCCACTCTGTCGCCCAGGCTGGAGTGCAGTGGCGCAATCTCGGCTCACTGCAACCTCCACCTCCTGGGTTCAAGTGATTCTCCTGCCTCAGCCTCCTGAGTAGCTGGGATTACAGATGCCCACCACCACACCCAGGTAATTTTTGTATTTTTAGTAGAGATGGGATTTCACCATGTTGGCCAGGCTGTCTCGAACTCCTAACCTCAGGTGATCCACCCGCCTCGGCCTCCTAAAGTGCATGAGCCACCACGCCCGGCCATAATATACTGTGTTTTTGTATTTTCCATATATATTTTTGGTCTAAATTTATTTAGGGAAAAGCACTTAGTTACATTAACTGATAGTTAATATTTTATATATTGTAAAGCCTCCTTTGCTCTAAACCAGGGAGAGGAAGAAGAGCCCATGGTGCATGTAGAGAGAGAGAGAGAGAGAGAGAGAGAAAGAAAGAAAGAAAGAAAGAAAGAAAGAAAGAAAGAAAGAAAGAAAGAAAGAAAGAAAAAGAAAGGAAGGAAGGAAGGAAGGAAGGAAGGAAGGAAGGAAGGAAGGAAGGAAGGAAGGCAGGCAGGCAGGCTGGGATTTGAGAAGCAAGTAAGCAAAACATCATGTTGTACACCATAAATATACATAATTTAACTTGTCAATTAAAAATAAAATTTAAAAAAGAAGTCAGTGGAGAGCTGGGAGGTTATATTTCATGAAAGCTAAGAAAAGAAAGCTCCCAAATGAAGGCTAAAAGCCAATAAAAATCAGGGAGGATGAGAACTGAAGAAATATTCAACCTTACCCCACTTTTTGGTGCCTTCCATCCCAAATCTATTCTTTCCATCTCAGTCTCACTCCCAAATCGCAAGTTAAGGCTGTATTTTGTACCTACCTGAGTGATAGAACCAGTGAAAGAATGCATTAGTAAAATTAGGGGAAAGAAAATAAATGGAAAGAAGATACCCATCAGACCAGTCAAATATTTTATCTTTCAATTTGCTGGAAAAAATTACACAATCTGTTTAAGCATGTACAAACTGTTTATAGACACTGTGCTCATTCTGTGCTCAAGGCACAAATGACTGACAGACTGAGAAGCAGACTGCCCTCCTGCTCTACAAAGGAGAGGGAGGAGGCCCTTCATACGTCAAGGTCTTCTGCATAGACAGAAGGTCCTTCAGCACTTTATTGGGTCTACAAGTCATCTGTCACTCTTCCTCCTAATATATATCACCATTGCTTCCATCCAATTACCCTGTCTATAAAATAATACGTCTATGACTACTTTAACATTTTCTGCCAGAAGAATGTTTATACTCTTGACAAAGCAGCATCTGTTTTACTTCAATGATACTAAAAAGATTCCCTCTGTGCTCTCACTCATTGCTGGTAAAAATGGTACACCACAGAGGGTGTCTGGCAATATCTAGGAAAATTAGCGATCCTGCTTCTAGGATTCTGAATCCATGGCCCTCTGGACATGGTTTTATTGACATTGGCTCATGAATTATACACATGCTGTACCCTACACAAGTACTTATGTACCTGTCCATCTGTGCCAGAGTGAGTGGCATGACAGCCAGGTCCTATTTTCCTCTCCATCTCTAGGAGACCTGGCATAGTCTCACGCTGCAGCATATTGGAAGAGCTCGTTAAATACTTACTGAATAAATGTATGAATCAAAGAATGAACCAATGTCAACACACTGGTGCTATGGAAATATTCTCTCTGTCTCCGTCATATGTCACGTATCTCCAGGTGAACATTGGTAAAAATCTTACTGAAATGACCCCTTTATACTTAGTTCAAATGGTAAACAGCCCCATAGCAATCCAGAAAAAGAGACTTTCTATAAAATTATGCTCTCCCAGCAGGGCATGGTGGCTCATGCCTGTAATCCCAGCACTTTGGGAGGCCAAGGCGTGCAGATTACCTGAGGTCAGGAGTTCGAGACCAGCTTGGCCAACATGGTGAAACCCCATCTCTAAAAAAAATACAAAAATTAGCCGGGCATGGTGGCACACGCCTGTAATCCCAGCTACTCGGGAGGCTGAGGCAGGAGAATTGCTTGAGCCTGGGAGATGGAGGTTGCAGTGAGCCGAGATCATGCCATTGCACTCCAGCCTGGGTGACAGTGTCTCAAAAAAAAAAAAAAAAAAAAAAAATTATGCTCTTCCCAGACAAAAGCAAGTAAAATTTTAAGAAGCAAATATTTAGCTGATTGGTGCTCCTTTCAGAAATCCAAACTTAGATAACTTGCAAGTATTTGTGTACATCCTTCTACTCTTTTATTTTTCTTTTAAGCAGTCCATTTATTTCATGATTGTTTGTTAAATCAATAGGATTTTTTTCTTTCATTATTTTTTCTTTTTAAAGGAATCAGACCAGGTGCAGTGCCTCATGCCTGTAATTCCAGCAATTTGGGAGGCTGAATTGGGAGGATTGCTTAAGACCAGGAGTTTAACAACAGCCTGAGCAACATAGAGAGACCCTGGTCTCTACAAAAAAAAAAAAAAAAAAAGTACAAAAATTAGCTGAATGTGGTGGTACACACCTGTAGTCCCAGCTACTCGGGAGGCTGAGGCAGGAGGATGGCTTGAGCTCAGGAGTTTGAGGCTGCAGTGAGCTATGCTCACACCACAACACTCCAGCTTTGGGGACAGAAGGAGGCCCTGTCTCTAAAAATAAAAAAAGGAACCTTATAATATACCTTACTCTGCAACTTGTTTGCTTTTTTTCCCACTTCATCTATCACAGACATCCTCTCAGACCAATACATTTAAACTTATTCTTTTAAAGAACTGCGAAATATGCCATAATCTAAATATGCCATAATTTCTTCAATCACTTCATTAACCATAGGTCAGTTGCTTTTAGTTTTTTGCCATTATAAATAATGTTATAATAAACACTCTCATACATACTTCACTTGAAATGATTCTTTTCTTTCTGTGAATTCCCAAGGTGGAATTGCTATGTAAAAGTCTGTGTTTTTTGTTTTAATATATACTTTCAGACTACTTTCCAAAAAGATTGCTACATTTCACAATCTTGCCTACTCCGGATGTGATCAGTCCCTTCTAATTGTCATGCCAGCATTGAAAAATTGATCTCACTCTTGTTACACTCTTATTTTTTTTTTTTATTTTTTTTTTTTAGCTGGAGCTCACTCTGTCACCCAGTCTGGAGTGCAGTGGCCTGATCTTGACTCACTGCAAGCTCCGCCTCCCAGGTTCAAGCAATTCTCTCTGCCCCAGCCTCTGGAATAGGTGGGATTACAGGTACCCGCCACCACACCAGGCTAATTTTTTTTTTTTTTTTAATTTTTAGTAGAGATGGGTTTTACCATGTTGGCCAAGCTGGTCTCGAACTCCGGACCTCAGGTGATCCACCCACCTTGGCCTCCCAAAGTGTTGGGATTACAGGCGTGAGCCACTGCACCCAGCCGACACTCTGGATTCTATCAGGTTGTGCTTTCTTTCATGTCAAGTGGCTTCTTCTGTGTCCTCCTCTCTAAACAATCTTGCTTGTCAGACTTCTTCTCAACTTGTAGGAGTTCTTTTAAAATTAGGGCTCATATTACCATGAATAATACAAGTATTTTTTCCAAGCATGGTGTATATCTTTGACTTTGCTTATGACTTGCCATAATTAACATTTATATAGTCAGAGCTGTTTTTTTAATGGCTTCTGAGTTTCTTATCTTAAAGACCTACCCTGATCCGAGGGCATTCAAATATTGTCTTCTACTTTTTACTTTTATGCTTATATTTTCAACTGACTTAAAATTTATATTTTGCATGGTAACAGGTATGAGACTAATCCATTTTTTCTATTAATATATTGAGATGCAAGTGTGTCAATATAATCTACTAAAATAAACCATTTTCCACTATACTGAAGTGTCACCTTTATCATTTATTAAATGCCCAAGTGTACACAAAATATTTTCTGGAAATTCTCTTCTAGCTCATTGATAAATAACTTTCTTTTTTCCTGAACAAATACTAGACTAATTACAGTGTTCTCATATATGGTAGGGCAAATACCTCCACATAAATTTCCCTTTTCAAACTTGTCTTAGCAGTTCTTGCTTATATTTTATTCCATATGAAACCCAAAATTATTTTATCCTATTAAGAATGCTTACTTTAAGCAAAGATTTCTTCCTGACTAGTAGGCAATTTAAAAGAAAAAAAGCAGTTTGCCACAGCTCTCAAACCTCTGTATCCACAAAGAGGCTGTTTAGAAAGTTTTTTCCAAATTCTTAGTCTATGATAGTGCTACATTCCTTGACTCTCCATATTACTAAGTCCTGAATGGAATTCCATATTATATCACTTTACTCTTGAACTTCTGGAGAACCAGCACAACATTTCTCTACTGAATGGCTTTGGCTCAAACAGCAGAAAGGTAAGACTCATGATTATGGGAAGCAAAGTGAGATTTATATCCGACTGATTCTATATCCTTGATTACCTATGTGATTGCTTCCATGTTTATACAATTTTCAAGCCCATGGTGATCATGATATTGGTCAAGGATGGCAAGAGGTTATCCTGGTGCTCTGCCAACTGTTACAAATACCAGCAAAGGTGGAAAAGCACACAGTGAATGCCTGTGAGTACAGTGGAAAGTCACGCCTTGTATTTTTAGCCATGAAATTCCAATGTAGCATAAACAGAGGATGTGGCTAAGTAAGTCTCTTGACTTTTCATGTATAGGAAAATTTTTGGCAAAATCTAACTTCAGTATAACAAGATTCCACTTGCATTGAGAAGAATAGCATCATCATCTCCAAACTATTACAGAAAATAATGAGACATATTCAGCAAGTCTAGACAAACAGGTCAGTCTTGAACCCTCCCTTAAAGCAGGGAAATTACATATATACACATTACATTAAAATGCAGTGTCAATAACATTTTGCAATTGGAGATTAAGTTATTATAAATTGTTTTAATTTCAAAAATCCCATAAAATCAGGAACTCTGACCCTCAAAACTATGAAAGTATACACTTGCTTTCCGACTGAAAGAAATAAAAAATTATCCAGCTAACCAGATGGACACGGAGTGAGCTATAAGATCATACCAACAGATTTGACCCTAGAATAGAGCGTAAGGCCCGATTTTCCATCCCTCAATATAAATGTTACCCTTGTCTGCTGCCTTCCAATAATAATGAGTATTTATTGAGCACTATGTGCTAGGTGTTATGTCTCATGCTTTTATATACATTTTCTCTTTTCATCTACATAATAACTCTATGTGTGAGTATTATTTTCATTGTATAGATAAGGAAATTAAAGTACATAGAGACATGGAAGCTTGCATGAAGTCTCATGAATTCAGTCTCCGTTCTGTCTCCAAAGCCTTAAATGCAAAGGACCTTCAGTTTTCCACCAAGACATGTCAGATAGACCTGAACAATTTGAAGTTCTATTTCCAGGTTCTCTACTGAAGGACTAAGAACTTCTTTAAAGTTCAAAGGTCAAAGTTGGCCACTGAGCTCCACAGGCTCCAACACCACCAGTGGTCAGAATCCTTTGTCTGCAGCTGAGGACATAAATACATCCTTACGGAAGAATGGACCTCTTGTATATATCAAAAGTTCTCAAACAAAGATAGTGGGAGGCCAGGCGTAAGTGGCCCACACCTGTAATCCCAGCACTTTGGAAACCCTAGGTGGGAGGATTGCTTGAGCCCAGGAGTTCAAGACCAGCCTGGGCAACATAGTGAGACCTCATCTCTGTAATAAAAAATAAAAAATTAGCTGGGTATGATGGCGCATGCCTATAGTCCCAGCTGCGCTGCTCAGAAGGCTGAGGTGAGAGGATCACTTGACCCCAGAAGGCCAAGACTTCAGTGAGCCATGATTGTACCACTGCACTCCAGTCTGATGACAGAGTCTAAGACCCTGTCTCAAAAAAAAAAAAAAGAAAAGAAAAGAAAAGAAAAGAAAAGACAAGACAGTGGGAGCTGTCCTGAGTTGCATCAATAAATGGACACCTCTTTTCTTTCTTTCTTTCTTTCTTTCTTTCTTTCTTTCTTTCTTTCTTTCTTTCTTTCTTTCTTTCTTTCTTTCTTTCTTTCTTTCTTTCTTTTTTTTTTTGAGATGGAGTCTCGCTCTGTCACTTGCCCAGGCTGGAGTGCAGTGGTGTGATCTCGGCTCACAGCAACCTCTGCCTCCTGGGTCCAAGCATTTCTCCTGCCTCAGTCTCCTGAGTAGCTGGCATTACAGGCATGCATCACCACACCTGGCTAATTTTGTATTTTTAGTAGAGATGGGGTTTTGCCATGTTGGCCAGGCTGGTCTCGAACTCCTGACCTCAAGTGATCTGCCCATCTCAGCCTCCCAAAGTGCTGGGATTACAGGTGTGAGCCACCACGCCTGGCCTGGACCTCTTTTGAGGGTTGTTTTTGTAATACACACAGGCAATCGGAAACTGTCATTCACTCATTCACTCATGTTTACCGAGTGCCTACCACTACCTGGCTGGTACTGTGCAAGCAAAGATGAGCAAGCCTTCCAGGAGCTTACAGATATAGTAGGTGAGGCAGACAAGTAGCCCAGCTATTGCAATGCTTTCCAACAGATGATAAGGAAGAGTTACATAATTCGGATTATGGGGACAGACAAGAGAAACATTTCTGGGCAGTAGTTTCAGGAGAAACTACGGTAGAGGAAGGGGGACATTTGGACTTCATATTTTGCTTTGCTTTTCCTATAGTCACAAAATACTTAATATTTAACCTCAGATCCACTCCTAAGCATACACTCAAGGGAAATGAAAGCTGAGACTCAACAGTATTATTCACAATTGCCAAAAAGTGGAAATAATTCAATTGTCCGTTGATGGATGAATAGATAAAACATGACACATATATATTATGATATATCATTATATACAGGGTTAGGGTTAGGCATGCAGCTCCTTGAGCAGGGACTAAAACACAGACCCAGGACACGATGTTCTTTTGCCTGCCTTATATAATAATAATAATAGTTCATATCACATTTTATGCCAAGTGAGATTCTAAGCACTTTAGAAATATTAACTCATTCAATCCTCTCAACAGCTCACGATGTAGGAATGCTTCTCATTTTAGAAGTGAGGAAACTGGCCGGGCTCGGTGGCTCACACCGGTAATCCCAGCACTTTGGGAGGCTGAGGTGGGCGGATCATGAGGTCAGGAGATCAAGACCATCCTGGCTAACATGGCGAAACCCCATCTCTACTAAAAATACAAAAAATCAGCCAGGTGTGGTGGCAGGCGCCTGTAGTCCCAGCTACTCGGGAGGCTGAGGCAGGAGAATGGTGTGAACCTGGGAGGCAGAGCTTGCAGTGAGCCGAGATCACGCCACTGCACTCCAGCCTGGGTGACAGAGCGAGACTCCGTCTCAAAAAAAATCAAAATAAAAATTAAAAAATAGAAGTAAGGAAACTGAAGCATAGAAAATGTGCATAATCTGCCGAGATGATCCAGTCAGTAAGTGATGGGTCTGCTTGCTGTTTCCAGAGCCCTTAACTACTACACCGTACTGCCAGATCTTAATTTTCATGTTCTACCCTCAAAGGTAGGAATTCTGTCCATCTCTAGTAGGATATATTGGGGAAAAAAATGCCCCCTATTCTTCACCCCTCCCTTATCCATGTCCGCTGTAATGTGACTTGGAAGTTCAGCCCATCAAGAGGCAAAATCGACTTTCCTAATCCATGAAGCTGGACTGGCCTTGCAGTCTGCATTGGCCAATGGAATGTGGTGGAAGGAAGAGGATCTGGTTTAAAGCCAACACTTCAAAAGACCTTTTCTGCTTTGCCTTTCTGAGAACCCTGCTGCTGCCATGTAATCAGGTCTAGGCTAGTCTACTAGAAAATGAGAGATCATGTAGTAAGAGAGCCCAGTTGTCCAGGTTGAAGCCACCTGCATTAGTCCATTTTCACACTGCTGTAAAGAAATACCCAAGCCTGCGTAATTTATAAAGGAAAGGGATTTGATTGACTCACAGTTCCACATGGTTGGGGAGGTCTCAGGAAACTTACAAACATGGCAGAAGGTGAAGGGGAAGCAAGGACCTTCTTCACAAGGCAGCAAGAGAGAGAAGAAGAACAAAGGAGGAACTTCCAAACACTTATAAAACCATCACTCACTATCATTAGAACAGCATGGGGGAAATCAACCCCATGACCTGATCACTTCCCTCCCTTGACACTTGGGGATTCCAGGCCCCTCCCTAGACACACGGGAATTACAATTCGAGATGAGAATTGGGTGGGGACACAGAGCCAAACCATATCACCACCCAAGACCAGTCTACATTTAACCAACCCCAAAATATGTAAAAGAACCCAGCCATGATCAGCCAAACTCGGCCCAGAGGCAGGATAATTTTTAAGGCTCTTCATACATATCAGCCAACTGCTTTCTAGGATGGTTATAAGGAAGAACAACATCATGACTGGAGGAGACAAAATAAGGTCAGTTGGCACTGCAGACTGTGGGAACAACATGGGCAAAAGAAAGCTGGAAGAGTGTGAGATATGCTCAGAGAACTATGAGCAGCCCATTTTGACTAAAAACCATTGTTCTTAAGGGGACTAGTGGAATAAAAGAACCTGGAGAAGTAAAGTAGACTGGCTTAGTCGTTTCTACCAATTTAGTAGGTGTTGAGAAGCCTTTGTATGTATAACATGTTCGTTTTCTCCTAACAGTACCATGCGGGTAATGTTATGATTTCCAGTTACAGAGAAGAGGCCCAAGGTCAGGATTTGAATATAGGCAATCTGGTATCAGAGCCTGCCTTATCCACTTACTGCAAAGCCGTAATGGAGAGACTAAAGGTGCAGAGAACAGCACTTTCATTGTTGTGAAAATACAATTAGCCAAGAAAGAAATTGTGAGGGCCTGACCTGAGGAAGTGTTAGTGGAGACCAACAGGAAGCAAGAACTGTGAGCAACACAGCAAGAGGAAGGGCTACAGGGCTTGGCAGTGGATTGAGTGGCCATGGCGAGAATGAGGGTAGTCACAGGGCAAGGCTAAGATGACAAGCCCAGGCAACTGCAAGAGGATGGGTGTCATCAGTCATCTCATTTGCAGAACGCACAAACCGGTTCCAACCAATGGATTCTGAAATGCCTGTGTGGGGTGAACACATGGAGAACTGCAAGTGCACTGCATGAAGCAGGAGTGAAGGCATGAGAAACGTGCTCAAGGTCATCTGCAGGGAGCTAAATCTCCACTTCCTCGTGTGTCAAATGAAGATGTTGTGCTAACCGCTCTTGGATTTTATCCAGCATTAACAGCAGATAAAACTCCTATCAATGACGATCCACTGAGTTTTGCTTAAAACTGATTTTTTGTTGGTATTCAATTATGAAGAAATGTAATTACTTAGATATTGTTTCACACCGTACTTGATTTTCACCTATTTGAGTTTCTACTGAAAATTGATTTTATTACTTTTGTACCTATAAGCTTCTAAAAATCTAATATTTAGTTTTTGCTTGTTTTTTTAGTTTTGTTGGTAAGACTCAAAATCAAAATTTAGAAAGAAAAGAGGAAAAGTAGCTAATATTTATTGCACAACTACTATGTACCTGGCACTCTGAATACACACACACACACAAATATATATTTCCTCCATAAATATAGTCTTGTGTCAGCCAGGCGCCGTGGCTCACGCCTGTAATCCCAGCACTTTGGGAGGCCGAGACAAGAGGATCACCTGACGGCAGGAGTTTGAGAACAGCCTGGCCAACATGGCGAAACCCCATCTCTACTAAAAATACAAAAATTAGCCAGGCACGGTGGTGGGTACGGGTACCTGTATTCCCAGCTACTCAGGAGGCTGAGGCAGGAGAATCACTTGAACCCAGGAGGTGGAGGTTGCAGCGAGCCGAGATCGCACCATTGCACTCCAGCCTGGGCGACAAGAGTGAAACTCCACCCCAAACTATTATCTATATATGTGTGTGTGTGTTTGAGTGTGTGTACATATATATACATATATATACAGTCTTGTGAGAAATAGGTAAATTTAACCCCATTTTGCCAATGATGAGATAAGGCTTAGATAGGTTAAATAATTTGAACAAAGTTAAAGGTGAATTAAAGATAAGAGTTGGCAAAAGAAAGTAAAAGTAGCTTTATCTTTCATAGGTTTCCTGTTCATTGGTGTTTTTATGACAACATTGACTAATAAGAGATTAAGGTAATAAATGTTCTCTTTCCCAGAACACAAGTGTTTGAGAACACTGAAGATTTATGCTGCTATTCAAAACAGAAGATCTAGTTGTGTTGCTAAATGCCATGGGGGAAATGTGCCTAAACTGCAGACTGATGTAAAACAGATGAGAATTCAAATCTGAGTTCTGCCATACTGGTTTGTAGCATTTGGCAAGCTACTTAACCAATCTGAATCACAATTTTCTCAGCTGTAAAATTCAGAACAATAAAAGGCCATTTACAAGGTTATTATGAGCCCCAAGAAGAAAATAAGCATGAAAGCATCTATCCCATGCCTATGGGGCACTTAATAAATATTAGTTTCCTTTTTCTTTCCAAAAACTTTTAGGTCCTGGAATTTATCTCTGATTTATGAACTTCATGCAAAGAATATCTATCATTTCCCAGTTAAATAATCAACTTTACTGAATTTGAATTAGCAATGTATATTAATGGCTTTTACCATTAAGGTAAAACACAAAAGCAGTGTATATTAGTGGCTTTGTATATGAGTGGCTTTTACCATTAAGGTAAAACACAAAATTCATCAAGTTATTTTTTTTTCAAATCTCTCATAAGTGGGTAAACAAAAACACTGCCTTGGGAAAGTTAGTTCCTATTCTGCATGGTATGAGCCCATTAAAATTTATAGGTGAAATATGTTCCATACGCTAAACATTCAGCACAAGCGGAAAACTGGAAACACATACCTGCAGCTGACTCTCACTGATGTCAACTCCCAGCTCAGTCATTACCTCTGATTCATTCATTCATGGTAAAGTGAATCTCAACTAAATGACATACACATGAAACAAATACTTAAATTTATAAGCAGTTCTTCCCCAGGGCAGGAAGTGAAACGGCATGTTCACAAGTAAGCAAAGAGTCTCGAGAGACCATTGTTTTTAGCTCTTTTTCCAGTGCTATCCCTCTACTCTTTCCTCAAATGCTCTTTTTTTCCCCCATCAAAACATGTAATCCAGAAAAGCATGTGACTAATTCATCCTCATTAAAGTGTAAATAAGGGACAAGGCTTAATGTCTCCCAGAGGTATTTATCTACACCATAATTGGGAATAAGGTCACTGGCTTAAAGGGAAGGAATGCGAATCTAGTGATGATGTTAACGATCTGCAAAGCAACAAGAAAGAACAATTTTAGTCCTGAGAGCCTTCGCATTGCTCCTGAAGTCAAATCGACAAGCCATCTCAGCACTTAAAGCTGGATATGGCCACCAGACACCCCTAAAGCTCCTTTATCCAGTCCTCTAAAGTGCTTCTTTCCTAAAGTAGGTGCTCAGGCATCACTGACTGGAGCTACGGGAGTCTCATTCTGACTATGCCACTGACACAACCACGACGGCTGCTACCAAACCACAATCGTTAGCTTCTTGGGATTCTTGGTTTAAGTCCTAGGAGTTGCTAAAGAGGCCAGTGTAGGTAAGAATGAGCTCAAGCTTAGGAAGGGCCACTGGGTGAGGTGCAGACCTGCCTCCACTGCTCAGAACGCATCCCACTGCTCAGAACAGTAGCCAATAAAGAAAATGATCATCAGCAAAGTAACTTTTGAGCACTGAAAGGAAAGCCCACCCATGGCTGAACAAGTCTCTGTGATATTTGTAACATTTCCCACTAGAATCTCTACCAAAAGATTAGAAGAGTGTTTAACACAAGAGTTTCAGTTATTCCCCCTAGGCAGGATAAGAGACAGACTGCTGAGCTTCCCTGGGGTTACTTACCTGAGATCCATATCTCCATCAACCCAGAAGGTGAAAATGTTAGAGATGGTGCCCCCCGGGCAGCAGCCCATGATGAGAACAGCAATAGCTTGGACTGGCTTCAGAGAAAAGCTAATGGCCAGGAGATAAGCTGTAAAAGGCATGAGCCCAAACTGGCAGAGCAGTCCCACAGCAATGCCCCAGGGTCTCCTGATGTGCGACCACAGCTTCCGGATCTCCACGGAACATCCCAAAGAGAACATGAGCAGCCCCATCATCACAGTGGACACCACTGTGAAAACGAGCTCCAGGTTTCCATGCACCTCCAGTCCCACTGGCAGCTCCTCCTCTGAACTGTTGGCAGGGCAGGCTGAGCTGCTGGAACAATTGGCTCTCATCTCCTCATCTCCTTAAGGCAGCATTACAAATGAACATCGGCAACAATGGCTGGGCAGGTCTATCCTGCCACATTTTGTAATAGTGCAACGAAGTCACACATGGAGAATCATTCCAATAACTGTTGGCCAGCAAGGTGATTCATCCTAATCTGATCAATTTTTTCACAAGTGGCATTATAAAAGTAATTATCACAGGCATGAAACATATAATAAACTGTGGTAAGTAAGGCTTTCCACTTCTGTTCTTACTCACCACTGAATATGTATGTGAGATGAGACAAACAAACTTGTTGTCAAGTGGAGTGACCGGGCTATGTCGTCAGCATCACATTGTGTCCCTGGAAAGTAGGGTGGATGCCAAGAAATAATTTCTCCAAATTCAGTTGGGATTTCAAAGAGCCAGGATGCACAGACAGAAAAGCTAACTCCGGAAAAAACAACAAAGCCAAAGCCACACCTTGTAGCATTAGCAAAGCGTGTCTGCTGGAAATAGAGCAAAAAGAAAAAAAACGCCGGTGGAGGAAATGTCAGGAGGGACTAAGAATAATTTCAAGGAGCTTCAGAATTTGTCTCAGTTTTTCTTCTAGTTCTATTAGAATTTGTGTCTAAAGTCAATAATTAAACACCTGTGAGAATAATATGGTATTAGGCACCTAATTATGTCTCATGAAACATGTGAAAACTAATTCCTTCACCCAAAATAATTCAAGGGAGCTCTCACTTGCTTTTGGAGATAAGAGTCTACTTTGAGATACATACCCCTGGCCTCCTAGGGACATCTGGGAATCCTGCAAGGGGATGTGGTAAAGAGCTTGGTCTGAAATGGAGATGGGGTCTGAGGACAGCCTCTGACCACAGTGCCCAGGGCCCCTCTGTGCATTCTAAGCAGGCACTGCTGGCAAAACCCAAGGACTGTATGGTTCTGTGAAACTAAACCTCTGAAAAAGCAGGTGCCACACCCCTTCTCACAGCAGAAAGTTTATTTGTGGGGCACAGGCTAGTAACAAGGCACACTTCATAAACGCCTCTACCTGTCTCAAGAGGGATACTAGCTATGCATTGTTTATTCATGGATGAGCAAATTCTTCTCCATGACAGAATGCTCAGGACATGCTGACTGTATAAAAATACAAGTTAGATTCAAATGTGAAGTAAATTCTAACTATTTGAAGAAAGAATAAACTGCCTTTGGCAAACAAACCCTGAAGGCAGCTCTGGCCATCCAGCCTCCCTGGAGGTTGCGTATAAGGGGTCAGTCAGCACAGGGCGTATTTACGCAGAGCCCTGCAGAGAATGGACACTGAGGAACGGGAAAGGTCTCTGGAAGGCAAGGTGTTCCCAGCTTGAATGATGCAGAGGTGTGGTCAGGCTGAGGAGGAAGGGAGGAGGGAGACAGCTAACATTTTCTGAGCACTTCTCAGGGGTGACAGAGGTGGTGATATGGTTTGGCTGTGTTTCCCCCGCACCCAAATCTCATCTTGAATTATAGCTCTTATAATTCCCATGTGTCATGGGAAGAACCTGGTGGAAGGTCATTGAATCATGGGGGCGGGTTTCTCCCGTGCTGTTCTCATGATAGTGAATAAGTCTCTCAAGTTCTGATGGTTTGATAAAGGGGAGTTCCCCTACACACGCTCTTGCCTTTTCTGCCACCATGTAAAACGTGTCTTGCTTCCCCTTCCCCCTCTGCCATGATTGTGAGGCCTCCCCAGCCATGTGGAACTGTGAGTCAATTAAACCTTTTTCCTTTATAAATTACCCAGTCTTGGGTATGTCTTTATTAGCAGCGTAAAAACAGACCAATACAGGTGGCTAGGTGCTTTACACATATGTGGCTATGTCTGGTGAAGCAGAACTTTATTTACTTATTTAGCAAGAGAAGGGGTCAGGGGTGTCTGCCTAGATAATGTCCAAAAGCCCCTTAGTCAACCTTCTTTTTTTTTTTTTTTTTTTTTTTGAGATGGAGTCTCCTACTGTCGCCCAGGCTGGAGTGCAGTGGAGTGGCGCGATCTCGGCTGACTGCAAGCTCTGCCTCCCGGGTTCATGCCATTCTCCTGCCTCAGCCTTCTGAGTAGCTGGGACTACAGGCGACCACCACCATGCCTGGCTAATTTTTTGTATTTTTAGTAGAGACGGGGTTTCAGTGTTAGCCAGGATGGTCTCGATCTCCTGACCTCGTGATCTGCCCGCCTCAGCCTCCCAAAGTGTCAACCTTCTTTGTTCCCAGGAAGAGTCACTTGAATCGCCCTTTTTAGTTATACAAATTTAAGTTTTGTATAAGCACCTCCATTCCTGATAAGGATGGTATAAGCACCCCCATTTCTGATGAGAATGGTGTGACGGGAACTTTTGTGATTGCTGGGTACTCAGTGCTGATAGAGGGGAGGGGGCTAAATATGCATAGCAGCCTTAAGGAGCCTCCTGGGAGAGGGAGAAAGGTGACCTTGGCCACTTCTCTTTTAAAATGTAGTGTTGGCCGGGCGCAGTGTCTCATGCCTGTAATCCCAGCACTTTGGGAGGCTGAGGCAGGTGGATCACGAGGTCAGGAGATCGAGACCATCCTGGCTAACACGGTGAAACCCATTCTCTACTAAAAATACAAAAAAATTAGCCAGGTGTGGTGGCGGGCACCTGTAATTCCAGCTACTCAGGAGGCTGAGGTGGCAGAATGGCATGAACCAGGGAGGTGGAGCTTGCAGTGAGCGGAGATTATGCCACCAAACTTCAGCCTGGCAGCCTGCACGACAGAGCGAGACTCCGTCTCAAAAAAAAAAAAAAAAAAAAAAAGTAGTGTTATCAGAATTTCTCAAAAGAATTAGGATGTTTCCGACTGAGGTCAGCTGGTCCTAACACACACCAGGAAAGACAGGGGTTTCTTGCCTGATGACAGGTTCCTCTGTGTCCAGTCACCCTGGACAGATGCCACAGGACACAATGACTAAGTATATGGATATGACCTGAAGAGAAGTCATCTTGAGAGCCCAGGCTTGGACACCGCCATGTTGTGTGCCAGGACTGGACCGGAAGGGACAGGGTGGCAATGGATAAAGGCCCACTGGACTGGGTGGGGCCAATGCATCAAAAGGTCCCAACAGAAACAACCGCAGTGATCCCAGGGCCTACCAGCGGGCTGGTCAGGCTTTTCCAAGTTTCTCCCCAGTGGAGATGGGAAGGAGATTTTCCTGGGAAGAGTAAGCACTTAGGGTTCTCGGTCAATTTGTAAAGAAGATTTCAAATACAGGATCGCAGACTTCCTGCCCTTATTGGTAAGTAGAGATTCAAATGATTAATTAGAAAATTTTAAAAAGCATGACCAACTTTACATCCCAAGCCAGTGAGGCAGATTATGAGATCCCACTTAATCCTCACATTTATTCTAGGAAGTAACAAAGGCCCATTGGGGCCATATTATTTGTCGAAGATTATTAAGCAGGTAAATTATAACATTGGGATTTAAATCTCAATCTAATTCTCCACCTGTCCTCGTTTCCTTCCCTGGAGCACACTGAAGTGGAAGCAATGAAAAGCAGTCAAGAGCAAGACCATGCGGAAAAGACTGGCAACCACTTAGGCATAGCTCAGGGGTAAAACACCACTATTTGGCTTAAGGATGGAGAAATAAACTAATCCCTAATCTCTAACATTATCTTCTATTCTCACACACTCAAAAGGCATCTACATATGTTCAATATGTATGCACCTTCATTTTGAGATCCAGTTCTACAAATCACAGGAAGTATTTCATGTACTTCCAGCCTCTGTAAGTAGAATTTGGGGTGAAAGATACTCCTCAGGAAAACCAACAGAAAAGGCTGGGAATGTAAAGTCTGAGGGGAAAGTGCCAAAAGAAAAGGTAACCAGACTTGGCTGTGGAACTGTTTCCCACGCTCTGAAAGGCAGCACAGGGTAAAACTTCTAGAAGCTTGAAAGACAGAAAAATCCTATAGGTTCAAAAAGAGTTTACGTAAATTCATGAGAGATAAATCCAAAACAGATATAAAGGAAATTGGCAGTAATGGAAAAAGTAGACTGTTTACTCAGACATGACACAAGGTAAAAAGCCAAATTCAGTATTTTTTTAACTCAACAATAAAAACACTATCACTTCCCAGAAAAAAAGACAAAATACTTGAAAAAAAGTGATCAACATCTTCCATGGTTGTAGTGTCCCTTCCAAAACTCATGTTGACATTTAATTGTCATTTTAACAATGTTGAGAAGTGGGCCCTTTAAGAGGTAATTAGGTCATGAGGGCTCTGGATAGATGAATGCTGTTATAGTGGGGAAGAATGGGTTCGTTATAGTGGGAATGCCATGTGATGCCTTCTGACATGTTACGATGCAGCAAGAAGGCCCTGGCCAGATGTGACCCTTTGGGAAGCCCATGATTTTGGGCTTCCCAGCCTCCAGAACAATGAACGAAATAAATATCTTTTCTTTATAAATTACTTTGTCCGTGGTACTCTGTTATAGCAGCAGAAAACAGCCAGGCGTGGTGGCTCACACCTGTAATCCCAGCACTTTAGGAGGCTGAGGTGGGAGGATCACCTGAGGTCAGGAGTTCAAGATCAGCCTGACCAACATGATGAAACCCTGTCTCCACTAAAAATACAAAAATTAGCTGGGCGTGGTGGTGGGTACCTGTATTCCCAGCTACTTGGGAGGCTGAGGCAGGAGAATCACATGAACCTGGGAGTGAGAGGTTGCAGTGAGCCAAGATCATGCCATTCCACTCCAGCCTGAGTGACAGAGCAAGACTCCATCTCAAAAAAAAAAAAAAAAGAAAAGAAAAGAAAAGAAGAAAAGAAAACAGAAATTAGGACAACATCACCACTAGTTTTTTTAGTTTTTTTTGTTTTTTTGAGACAGGGTTTCATTCTGTCACCCAGGCTGGAGTACAATGGTGCTATTATGGCTCACTGAAGCATTGACCTCTGGAGCTTAGGTGATCTTCCCACCTCAGCTCCCAGGTAGCTGGGACCACAGGCGCACACTACCATGCCTGGTTAATTTTTATATTTTTTGTAGAGATGGGATTTCTCCATGTTGCCCAGGCTGGTTTCGAATTCTTGGGCTTAAGCAATCCCCCTACCTCGGCCTCCCAAAGTGCTGGGACTGCAGGTGCAAGCCACTGCACCTGGCCATCACTACTAATTTTTTTTAAAGTACAGTGAAATAAGATAACATGTTTTGCATAACAACAAGAATATGCAATTTTAAGGTAAATATCCCCAGCTTTTAAGAGTTGAGTGAAAGATACATTCTCATATACTGCAGGTGGGAAATAAAATTCATAAAACCTTTCTGGGTAAAGTCTGGCAATATGTACTAAGAGCCTTTGTTTATTAAGAAGATGTTTTAATAAACGAACTTCAATATTGGCAAAGATTTATTATTTTTTTTCGCTCTGTCGCCAGGCTGGATTGCAGTGGCATGATCTCAGCTCACTGCAACCTCTGCCTCCCGGGTTCAAGTGATTCTCCTGCCTCAGCCTCCTGAGTAGCTGGGACTACAGGTGCCACCACGCCCAGCTAATTTTTTTGTATTTTGAGTACAGATGGGACTTCACCATGTTGGCCAGATGGTTTCCATCTCTTGACCTCGTGATCTGCCCACCTTGGCCTCCCAAAGTGCTAGGATTACAGGTGTGACCCACCGCACCCAGCCAAGATTTATTATTTCTTTGGGGCGGATGTTCCTATTTATAATAGTATTGTTATTTATAAATACATTCCTATTTATAACAGCATATTTATAAAAGCAGAAAACTAGGCCAACTTAAATGTCCAAAGAGAGACTGATTAAGTAAATTATAGTACAACCATACAATGAGGTGATATGGAGCTTTTTTTAATGTAAGCGGGAGAGGTACAGTGGCTCACCCCTGTAATCCCAGCACTTTGGGAGGCCAAGGTGGGAGGATCACTTGAGCCCAGGAGTTCTAGACCAGTCTGAGCAACATAGTGAGACTCTGTCTCTACAAAAAAAATTTTTTTTAATTAGCCGGTCCTGGTGGCATGCACCTGTAGTCCGAGCTACTCAGGAGGAAGAGGTGGAAGAATCACTTGAGCTTGGGAGGTCTAAGCTACACTGAGCCATGATCACACCACTGCACTCCAGCCTGGGTGACAGAGTGACATCCTGCCTCAAAAAATAAAAATTTAAAAAACTTTTTAAAAAGTAAACATTTTAACAAGGAGAAATATTTACAAGATTAAACATGATCATTTTTTCTTATCGATAGGCAAACAGAATCCTCCTAGCCATGTTAAAATAATAAGCAACTAAATGGAGAAACACTAAAATTTTCATAATGATTGCTTCTGTATGCTGAATTAGTGATGATTTGTTCTTCTTTATATTTTTTGTACTATCTGCTATCTTTGAAATGGCTAGCAATTACCATTTTTATAATTGAGAAAAAAGGAACTGAAGGAAAAGGAATAAAAATAGAAGGAGTCGTGGTTATTTCCAGTAACTCCTACAGGCTGATAACATCCTGATGACTCCATGAGGAGCTGGACTGTTGAGATGACTCAATTGTCTTTGTTCTTAGGATTTTACAAGGGAGCCTAATAAATACCAAAGCTTCCAGTAAGTGATGCCTGCAGAAAATGAAATGCAAGGACATGAGAAGAATGGACAGGCCAAGTCAGGACCTAGAGGCCAAGTCAGGACCTGGAGAAGGGTAGTAGATGGGACTGCAAAGTGCTTAGCCTGAAACGGCACCTGCTCCACCTTCAGGATAAAATGACCAGAAGGTAAAACAAAGTATCCTGTCAACAAAACTAACTGGAAAGACTTGTTTACCCTGCACTGGTAGCATGCTATTTATAGTATTATTTGTGGTCCTTTTCCCAACAATCTTTTCTGACTGCAGCTCATCAGATCAGATGTTATTAAGCTTATAAACATAAATTCTCATCGCCTACTTAAATCCTAGAATTATGAGAAGAAAATGCATTACAAGTTGTAATAAATGAGATTAATGGGGTTTGTCAGCCATAAGAGCAAATTACTCATACTGATTTTCTACGATAATAACTGCCATTTGTTGAGTCTTTCCTAAACATATTACCTGAGGACCTATCACAGGGTCTTCCATGTAGCAGGTCCCTTAGGTAATTCATATCCTCCTCCCAACAACCTTATCAAGTAGGTATCATTATTACCTTCATTGGCCCATAAGTGAAGAAAGGCTGATTGCAATTAAGCAACTTACCACAGACTAAGGTAGTAAACAGAACAGCAAGATGGTAGAGGTTGACTCCTGAGCCTATACTGTATATGAAAAGTAAAATAATAAAAGTTCATGGGTTTCACTTGTATAAACTATTATTCTTGCGACTCAAACTAAACCACATCCTGATTACTACTACTCACCTTGCCAACCCTAAACCTTTAATTCATGTGCCTTTCGAGGTCTAAATACAGGTGCATGGAAAACATGTTAACTGGCATTCTGAAAGAATAATATCCAGGCTGAAAGGGTAGTATTTTAATTTATAGGTCTGAATAACTTTTATTTTGAAGTAATTACCTGATTAAAACATTCATGATCCTAAATACAGAAAATATTTCCCAGCACTCATCCTAGGTTCTAAACTACTTTACAGTGGCCTCCCTAAAAGAATACATAAGCAAAACAGATCCTTCACCACGTCAACCAAGAGCCCCCAAGAAAGGAGATGAAACCAGAGCAAATGAGACATTTTTCACTAATAGTAAAGTGGTCATTTATCCTTTCCTTATACTTTCTAAACAGAAGTTCAACCCTAAGGCCATAACTACAAAAGAACAGAAGTATTTTTCTTCATCCTAAATTGCTAGGCCAGGAGGATATGCACCTAACACTCTAGACAAAACTAATCTGAACAAAGAGTGCTGTTGAGCTAAAGCATTTCTTAGGAAAACTAGAGATCAATCCCAGGCATCTGGTATAAACTTCCAGCCTTCTCATCTGACCATTTCTAGCTACTATGCCTGGGGCATTATAAATGCTCAGTAAATATTAGCTATTGTGGTGATCGTTGTTATTAATAACATCTGTTTCATCTAACCCAGAAAAATAACAATGTCAGGATCAAAAAAAAAAAAAAAAAAGGCTACTCCTTTTCTCCTGCTTCCAATTTTCTGATTTGTTTTCCAAAGCCTTTTGTTAGTAAAACTTAGAAATTTCTTTCAAATACTAAAAGGGTCATGAGAAAACAAAAAATATATATACTTATGTGATCTCATGATAAATGAAGGCCACCATTAGGAAATAACTCTCCTCTTAGTTTGAAGGAAGTTATGTCAGCTATTTCTACTACTTGTGTAAAGTAATTCCACAAACTGCAGTGCTAGAATTCTGACACTCCCCTGGGTACACCTGAGTTTTGATGCAACAGAGTACCTGGGAAAGGAGGTGGCAGTGCAGGTGAACCAGGCTAGTATATGTTTGGTCATTTGTTGGGTTCACAGTATGCTTGTCTTACCTGTTCTACATAGTTGGTGAGAGTGGGAGAGTAAATTTAAATTCCAACAGGAAATAGATATATGGTGAGCAATCTCTGAAACAGTAAGAGAGAGGGAATTTTCCTCTGGCACTTGGAAGGAGTTAATTTTATAGAGTTAACGTGATGCGGGAAAAAAGGGCACCTGCAACTGAAGTCTACAAAGGCGACATCTACATTTGAATGTTGTGAAAGTTTCAAAGTGAAAAGCAATCCTTTAGCATGGAGGTGGATGATTAGAAGCAAACGCCCGGTGGCTCACGCTTCTAATCTCAGCACTTCAGGAGGCTGAGGGGGGTGGATGGCTTGAGCTCAGGAGTTAGAGACCAAACTGGGCAACATGGTGAAACCCCTTCTCTACAAAAATACAAAAATTAGCTGGGCATGGTGGCAAATGTCTGTAGTTCCAGCTACTCAGACGGCTGAGGCACAAGAATCGCTTGCACCTTCCAGACGGAGGTTGCAGTGAGCCAAGATCGTGCCATTGCACTCCAGCCTGGGCGAAAGAGAGACCCTGTCTCCAAAAAAAAAAAAAAAAAAAAAAAGCAAAGGAGAGGGACTGACACTAAGAAGAACAGTAGGAGCCTATTAGGAGAAAATCCCAAAATAGAGCCTGAGGCCCCCAGTAGAATGGCTTATACAGCTTGTTCCTTCTCTAGGATTAATTCAGACTAATATTATGCCCTTTGTTACAAATACAGAAGACTAAGATCCCTAGATTCTTTGCTTAAACACTGCTGGTGGGAAAGTAAATTAGTACAACCTCTATGGCTAACAGTAGGGAGATTTCTCAAAGAATTAAAAATACATCTACCATTAATCCAGGAATCTCACTACTGGGCAACTACCCAAAGGAAAAGAAGTCATTATATTAAAAAGACAACTGCACACATATGTTTATGACAGTACAATTCACAACTGCAAAGATATGGAATCAACCTGTGACCATCAACTGATGAGCGGATAAAGAAAATGTGGTATGATATATGCCACAGAATAGTATACAGCCAAAAAAAAAATCTTTTGCAGCAACTTGGATGAAACTGGAGGCCATTATCGACGGAAATGAAGTAACTCAGGAACAGAAAACCAAATACCGAATGTTCTCACTTATAAGTGGGAGCTAAGCTATGGATGTACAGCGGCATGCAGAGTGGTATAATGAACATTAGAGAATCAGAGCAGGGTGGGGGGTAATAAGGGATTGAAAACTACCTATTGGGTACAATCTACACTATTCGGGTGATGGGTGCACTAAAAACCCAGACTTCACCACTATAAAATTCATCCATGTAACCAAAAACCACCTGTACCCCTAAAGCTACTGAAATAAAAAAATTAATAAATAAATAAAATTTAAAAATAAAAAAGGCTGGGCATGGTGGCTCATGACTGTAATCCTAGCACTTTGGGAGGCCAAGGGGGGTGGATTGCTTGAGGCCAGGAGTTCAAGATCAGCCTGACCAACATGGTGAAACCATGTCTCTACTAAAAACACAAAAAGTGCCGGGCGTGGTGGCGGGTGCCTGTATTCCCAAGTACTCAGGAGGCTGAGGCAGGAGAATCGCCTGAATCTGGGAGGTGGAGGTTGCAGTGAGCCAAGACTGCACCACTGGACTCCAGCCGGGGCAATAAGAGCGAGACTCCATCTAAAAAAAAAAAAAAAAAAAATCACTATTTTTGTTTACAGGTTTTAGGACACTTGCTGAAAATGGCCCTGCTGCCCAGAAGGCCTGCTGTGGCCCAGAACTGCCAGAGATTGGATAGGGAAATTTATCTTATTCCAAATTTTAGTATGGGGCCCACTTGCCCCTATACAAGCCATGTCTTCAATGTGAGCTTTTGCAATCATAAAGCTGATGTTTGGATTTCCTACCTGTTTATTCTTTGGTATTATTGCATATTTGGTCCAGATCCTAGACAAAGAACAAGGGTATCACAGTTTTGGTGCCCGTCAAAACTCTAGCATCCAGTATAATTGACCAGAATTGTTGAGAATTAGGGTGGAATGTGGAGACCAAAATAACAAGGATTCTGGTGGGGCCAGGGTATATGGCTTTGGGCCTTGGATTCAAGAGGCAGGTTGGGCATTTTAACCTTGAAAATCTCCAGAGATTATTTCTGGGTAATAAGACTCAACTTTACAATTGTGCAGTTGGATTTTTAACTATTATGACCTGAGCAAGCAGTTTAAGCCCAAGAAACTAATCACATGAGATAAGAGATTTTCACTCTGATTGGTCACTGAAGCTATGAAAGCTCTTCAATTGCTGGGGGTTTTTTGGGTTTTTGTGGGGTGGGGGGGTGTTTTGTTTCGAGACAGTGTCTTACTGTCACACAGGCTGAAGTGCAGTGGTGTGATCATAGCTCAGTATCACCTCAATTCCTGGGCTCAGGTCATCTTGAGTGCTGTTTTTAGAGACAAAAGCCCATATTAACTGGGCCTGAAGCAAATTGTACATAGGCCTCACCCACCTTAAGTAAAGTTAAGTTCTTTATCAAATACATGGGTCAGCAAGGGCCTTACTTAGCACAATACTGGCTGAAAGCAGCCTCAGCAAACCCTGGCTACATAAGTACTAAGTAAGCAACACCTACTAGTCCCAGTAAGCAAGACATGCAGGCTACAGAATCATAGTGTGTTATGAAAAAAAAAAAAAAGCCACACATTCAGGCATCAGCAGGTCCTAGAGGCCTTAATGAGAGCAGAGTGTCAGCAGGGTATCAGCAGATATCGGCAGGCCATGCAGGCCCCAGGTCAAAAGTGGACCAAATAAGTAACTCAACAGCACAGGCTTCTGGAAAATAATGAACTTTGAAGTGACAGAAATCTAGACTTGCGTCTCATCACTCCCTTAAAAGTTGCATCGCCTTGAGGCAGGGCACAGGGGCTCATGTCTGTAATCCCAACACTTTGGAAGGCCGAGGTGGGTGGATCACTTGAGCCCAGGAGTTCGAGACCAGCCTAGGCAATAAGGTGAAACCCTTATTTTGGCAAAAAATGCCAAAATTAGCTAAGGCAGTTGTGGGTGCCTGCAGTCCCAGCTACTCCTTAGGCTGGGGTGGGAGGATTGCTTGAGACCAGGAGTCGAGGCTTCAGTGAGCCGCGATTGGGACATTGCACTCCATCGATAGAGTGAGACCTTGGTCTCAAAAAGAAGAAAAAAAAGCTGTGTCACCTTGGGTAAGTTACAGATCCTTCACCTAGCCCCCCAGTTCCCTCAGAACTAGAACAGAGATTTGAAAATGTAACCAATTAAACATGCACCTATAAGCCAGCCATTTCTCTCCTGGAGGTATTTACTCCAAAGAAATGAGAGCATATGCCCAGATAACACTCACAGCAGTTTTATTTGTAAGCACTGAGAACTAGAAGCAACCCAAATGTTTACCAATAGGTTCCTGGATAAACGAAGTGTGATATATCCTGACAATAGAATCCTACTCAGCAATAAAAAGGAACACACATGCAATAACATGGATGAATCTTAAAATAATTATGCTGAATACAAGAAACCAAAATATAGTATATACTGAATGATTCTATTTATATAAAATTCTCAAAATGCAAACCAATTTATAGTGCCAGAAAGCAGATCAGTGGTTGCCTAGAGGCTGGCGGTGGGAGAACAGTGAGAAGGGATGGATTACAAGGGGTACAAGGAAACTCTTGGGCCAATGGCATGTTCATTACCTTCACTGTGAGTGTGTCCCACAGGTGCAGACACATGTCAAAACTCATCAAATTGTATACCTTAAGCAGGTGCAGTTTATGTCACAGCCAATTACACCTCAATAAAGCTGAAAAAATATGTGGGTCAAAGAATATATAAGATTGAACAGCAGACTCAAACCCCTTGAGCACTCTTCAAAAGTGGCACCTTTTTGGTCATTTGTGGTGACTCACACCTGTAATCCCAGCACTTTGGGTGAATCTCTTGAGTCAGGAGTTCAAGACCATCCTGGGCAACATGGCGAAACGCAATTTCTACTAAAGATACAAAAAAGTAGCCGGGCATTACCAAAACAGAGATATAGACCAATGGAACAGAACAGAGCCCTCAGAAATAAAGCCGCACATCTACAACTATCTGATCTTTGACAAACCTGACAAAAACAAACAATGGGGAAAGGATTCCCTATTTAATAAGTGGTGCTGGGAAAACTGGCTAGCCATGTGTAGAAAGCTGAAACTGGATCCCTTCCTTACACCTTATACAAAAATTAATTCAAGACGGATTAAAGACTTACATGTTAGACCTAAAACCATAAAAACCCTAGAAGAAAACCTAAGCAACACCATTCAGGACATAGGCATGGGCAAGGACTTCATGTCTAAAACACCAAAAGCAATGGCAACAAAAGCCAAAATTGACAAATGGGATCTAATTAAACTCAAGAGCTTCTGCACAGCAAGAGAAACCATCATCACAGTGAACAGGCAACCTAGAGAATGGGAGAAAATTTTTGCAACCTACTCATCTGACAAAGGGCTAATATCCAGAATCTACAATGAACTCAAACAAATTTACAAGAAAAATACAAATAACCCCATCAAAAAGTGGGCAAAGGATATGAACAGACACTTCTCAAAAGAAGACATTTATGCAGCCAAAAAACACATGAAAAAATGCTCATCATCACTGGCCATCAGAGAAATGCAAATCAAAACCACAATGAGATACCATCTCACACCAGTTAGAATGGCAATCATTAAAAAGTCAGGAAACAACAGGTGCTGGAGAGGATGTGGAGAAATAGGAACACTTTTACACTGTTGGTGGGACTGTAAACTAGTTCAACCATTGTGGAAATTGGTGTGGCGATTCCTCAGGGATCTAGAACTAGAAATACCATTTGACCCAGCCATCCCATTACTCAGTATATACCCAAAGGATTATAAATCATGCTGCTATAAAGACACATGCACATGTATGTTTATTGTGGCACTATTCACAATAGCAAAGACTTGGAACCAACCCAAATGTCCAACAATGATAGACTGGACTAAGAAAATGTGGCACATATACACCATGGAATACTATGCAGCCATAAAAAATGATGAGTTCATGTCCTTTGTAGGGACATGGATGAAGCTGGAAACCATCATTCTCAGCAAACTATCGCAAGGACAAAAAACCAAAAACTGCATGTTCTCACTCATAGGTGGGAATTGAACAATGAGAACACATGGACACAGGAAGGGGAACCTCACACACCAGGGACTGTTGTGGGGTCGGGGGAGGGGGGAGGGATAGCATTAGGAGATATACCTAATGTTAAATGACGAGTTAATGGGTGCAGCACACCAACATGGCACATGTATACATATGTAACAAACCTGCACGTTGTGCACATGTTCCCTAAAACTTAAAGTATAATAATAAAAAAAAAAAATTAGCCAGGCATGGTGGTGCATGGCTGTAGTCCCAGTTACTCAGAAGGCTGAGGTGGGAGAGTCATCTGAGTACAGGAAGTCCAGGCTACAGTGAGCCATGATCGTACCACTACACTCCAGCCTGGGCATTGGAGTGAGACCCTGTCTCAAAGGGAAAAAAAAAAAAAAAGTGGCACCTTTTCAACAATCTTTTTTAAAAAGTTATTAGAGACAGGGTCTCACTCTGTTGCCCCAGCTGGAGTGAAGAGGCGTGATCATAGCTCACTGCAGCCTCGGACATCTGAGCTCGAGTGATCCTTCCACCTCAGCCTCCTGAGTAGCTGGCACTACTGGCCGTGCCACCACTCCTGGCTTTGACAATTTTTAAAGTAATACATTCATTTATCCAACAAATACTGATAAGAGTGGCTACTCTGAGTAGGTATTATTGTAGACACTAGAGACAACACAGAGAAACACAGGCAAATAAAAAAGCAAGCAAATAAATAACTGCAGAGAGTGATGTTAGTGCTGTAAAGGAACTAAAACAAGGTGCTGTCACTGCAAGTGACTGAGTAAAAGGAAAGGCCAGTTTCTCTGGGGGGTGGTGGGGAGGTCCCAGGAGGCCTCCCACAGCAGATGTTATTTGATCCAAGTCCTCAATAATCAGGAGGCAACTCTGCAAAAATGTGAGGGCTGAGAACCTTGGGGAAAATAAACAAGAGCAAAGGCTCTAAGGTGGGAACAAGTCTGATGTGTCGGAAACAGCAAGTAGGCCATGATCTAGAGCCCAGTGGGGCTGGATCATGAGTGGGAGGAATGAGGTCAGAGAGCAAGGCGAGTGGGAGAAAGCACAGGGCCTGGTCACCCCCCAGCAGGGGCAGACTGACACCTCACACGGCCGGGTACTCCAACAGAACTGCAGCTGAGGGTCCTGTCTGTTAGATGGAAAACTAACAAACAGAAAGGACATCCACACCAAAAACCCATCTGTACATCACCATCATCAAAGACCAAAAGTAGACAAAACCACAAAGATGGGGAAAAAACAGAGCAGAAAAACTGGAAACTCTAAAAAGCAGAGCGACTCTCCTCCTCCAAAGGAACGCAGTTCCTCACCAGCAATGGAACAAAGCTGGACGGAGAATGACTTTGACGAATTGAGAGAAGAAGGCTTCAGATGATCAAATTACTCCGAGCTACAGGAGGACATTCAAACCAAAGACAAAGCAGTCGAAAACTTTGAAAAAAATTTAGAAAAATGTATAACTAGAATAACCAATACAGAGAAGTGCTTAAAGGAGCTGATGGAGCTGAAAGCCAAGGCTCGAGAACTACGTGAAGAATGCAGAAGCCTCAGGAGCCGATGCGATCAACTGGAAGAAAGGGTATCAGCGATGGAAGATGAAATGAATGAAATGAAGTGAGAAGGGAAGTTTAGAGAAAAAAGAATAAAAAGAAACGAACAAAGCCTCCAAGAAATATGGGACTATGTGAAAAGACCAAATCTACATCTGATTGGTGTACCTGAAAGTGACAGGGAGAATGGAACCAAGTTGGAAAACACTCTGCAGGATATTATCCAGGAGAACTTCCCCAATCTAGCAAGGCAGGCCAACATTCAGATTCAGGAAATACAGAGAACACCACAAAGATACTCCTCGAGAAGAGCAACTCCAAGACACATAATTGTCAGATTCACCAAAGTTGAAATGAAGGAAAAAATGTTAAGGGCAGCCAGAGAGAAAGGTCGGGTTACCCTCAAAGGGAAGCCCATCAGACTAACAGCAGATCTCTTGGCAGAAATTCTACAAGCCAGAAGAGAGTGGGGGCCAATATTCAACATTCTTAAAGAAAAGAATTTTCAACCCAGAATTTCATATCCAGCCAAACTTAGCTTCATAAGTGAAGGAGAAATAAAATACTTTACAGACAAGCAAATGCTGAGAGATTTTGTCACCACCAGGCCTGCCCTAAAAGAGCTCCTGAAGGAAGCACTAAACATGGAAAGGAACAACCGGTACCAGCTGCTGCAAAATCATGCCAAAATGTAAAGACCATCGAGACTAGGAAGAAACTGCATCAACTAACGAGCAAAATAACCAGCTAACATCGTAATGACAGGATCAAATTCACACATCACAATATTAACTTTAAATGTAAATGGACTAAATGCTCCAATTAAAAGACACAGACTGGCAAATTGGATAAAGAGTCAAGACCCATCAGTGTGCTGTATTCAGGAAACCCAACTCACGTGCAGAGACACACATAGGCTTAAAATAAAAGGATGGAGGAAGATCTACCAAGCAAATGGAAAACAAAAAAAGGCAGGGGTTGCAATCCTAGTCTCTGATAAAACAGACTTTAAACCAACAAAGATCAAAAGAGACAAAGAAGGCCATTACATAATGGTAAAGGGATCAATTCAACAAGAAGAGCTAACTATCCTAAATATATATGCACCCAATACAGGAGCACCCAGATTCATAAAGCAAGTCCTGAGTGACCTACAAAGAGACTTAGACTCCCACACATTAATAATGGGAGACTTTAACACCCCACTGTCAACTTTAGACAGATCAACGAGACAGAAAGTCAACAAGCATACCCAGGAATTGAACTCAGCTCTGCACCAAGCGGACCTAATAGACATCTACAGAACTCTCCACCCCAAATCAACAGAATATACATTTTTTTCAGCACCACACCACACCTATTCCAAAATTGACCACATACTTGGAAGTAAAGCACTCCTCAGCAAATGTAAAAGAACAGAAATTATAACAAACTATCTCTCAGACCACAGTGCAATCAAACTAGAACTCAGGATTAAGAATCTCACTCAAAACCGCTCAACTACATGGAAACTGAACAACCTGCTCCTGAATGAATACTGGGTACATAATGAAATGAAGGCAGAAATAAAGATGTTCTTTGAAACCAACGAGAACAAAGACACAACATACCAGAATCTCTGGGACGCATTCAAAGCAGTGTGTAGAGGGAAATTTATAGCACTAAATGCCCACAAGAGAAAGCAGGAAAGATCCAAAATTGACACCCTAACATCACAATTAAAAGAACTAGAAAAGCAAGAGCAAACACATTCAAAAGCTAGCAGAAGGCAAGAAATAACTAAGATCAGAGCAGAACTGAAGGAAATAGAGACAAAAAACCCTTCAAAAAATTAATGAATCCAGGAGCTGGTTTTTTGAAAGGATCAACAAAATTGATAGACCGCTAGCAAGACTAATAAAGAAAAAAAGAGAGAAGAATCAAATAGACGCACTAAAAAATGATAAAGGGGATATCACCACCGATCCCACAGAAATACAAACTACCATCAGAGAATACTACAAATACCTCTATGCAAATAAACTAGAAAATCTAGAAGAAATGGATAAATTCCTCGACACATACACTCTCCCAAGACTAAACCAGGAAGAAGTTGAATCTCTGAATAGACCAATAACAGGATCTGAAATTGTGGCAATCATCAATAGCTTACCAACCAAAAGGAGTCCAGGACCAGATGGATTCACAGCCGAATTCTACAAGAGGTACAAGGAGGAACTGGTACCATTCCTTCTGAAACTATTCCAATCAACAGAAAAAGAGGGAATCCTCCCTAACTCATTTTATGAGGCCAGCATCATCCTGATACCAAAGCCGGGCAGAGACACAACCAAAAAAGAGAATTTTAGACAAATATCTTTGATGAACATTAATGCAAAAATCCTCAATAAAATACTGGCAAACTGAATCCAGCAGCACATCAAAAAGCTTATCCACCATGATCAAGTGGGCTTCATCCCTGGGATGCAAGGCTGGTTCAATATAAGCAAATCAATAAATGTAATCCAGCATATAAACAGACCCAAACACAAAAACCACATGATTATCCCAATAGATGCAGAAAAGGCCTTCGACAAAATTCAACAACCCTTCATGCTAAAAACTCTCAATAAATTAGGTATTGATGGGACATATCTCAAAATAATAAGAGCTATCTATGACAAATCCACAGCCAATATCATACTGAATGGGCAAAACTGGAAGCATTCCCTTTGAAAACTGGCACAAGACAGGGACGCCCTCTCTCACCACTCCTATTCAACATAGTGTTGGAAGTTCTGGCCAGGGCAATTAGGCAGGAGAAGGAAATAAAGGGTATTCAGTTAGGAAAAGAGGAAGTCAAATTGTCCCTGTTTGCAGACGACATGATTGTATATCTAGAAAACCCCATTGTCTCAGCCCAAAATCTCCTTAAGCTGATAAGCAACTTCAGCAAAGTCTCAGGATACAAAATCAATGTACAAAAATCATAAGCATTCTTATACACCAACAACAGACAAACAGAGAGCCAAATCATGAGTGAACTCCCATTCACAATTGCTTCAAAGAGAATAAAATACATAGGAATCCAACTTACAAGGGATGTGAAGGACCTCTTCAAGGAGAACTACAAACCACTACTCAACGAAATAGAAGAGGAAACAAACAAATGGAAGAACATTCCATGCTCATGGGTAGGAAGAATCAATATCGTGAAAATGGCCATACTGCTCAAGGTAATTTACAGATTCAATGCAATTCCCATCCAGCTACAAATGACTTTCTTCACAGAATTGGAAAAAACTACTTTAAAGTTCATATGGAACCCAAAAAGAGCCCGCATCGCCAAGTCAATACTAAGCCAAAAGAACAAAGCTGGAGGCATCACGCTACCTGACTTCAAACTATACTACAAGGCTACAGTAACCAAAACAGCATGGTACTGGTACCAAAACAGAAATATAGATCAATGGAACAGAACAGAGCCCTCAGAAATAATGCCGCATATCTACAACTATCTGATCTTTGACAAACCTGACAAAAACAAGCAATGGGGAAAGGATTCCCTATTTAATAAATGGTGCTGGGAAAACTGGCTAGCCATATGTAGAAAGCTGAAACTGGATCCCTTGCTTACACCTTATACAAAAATCAATTCAAGATGGATTAAAGACTTAAACGTTAGACCTAAAACCATAAAAACCCTAGAAGAAAACCTAGGCATTACCATTCAGGACATAGGCATGGGCAAGGACTTCATGTCTATAACACCAAAAGCAATGGCAACAAAAGCCAAAATTGACAAATGGGATCTAATTAAACTAAAGAGCTTCTGCACAGCAAAAGAAAGTACCCTCAGACTGAACAGGCAACCTACAAAATGGGAGAAAATTTTCACAACCTACTCATCTGACAAAGGGCTAATATCCAGAATCTACAATGAACTCAAATTTACAAGAAAAAAACAACCCCATCAAAAAGTGGGCAAAGGACATGAACAGACACTTCTCAAAAGAAGACATTTATGCAGCCAACAGGCACATGAAAAAATGTGCATCATCACTGGCCATCAGAGAAATGCAAATCAAAACCACAATGAGATACCATCTCACACCAGTTAGAATGGCAATCATTAAAAAGTCAGGAAACAACAGGTGCTGGAGAGGATGTGGAGAAATAGGAACACTTTTACACTGTTGGTGGGACTGTAAACTAGTTCAACCATTGTGAAAGTCGGTGTGGTGATTCCTCAGGGATCTAGAACTAGAAATACCATTTGACCCAGCCATCCCATTACTGGGTATATACCCAAAGGACTATAAATCATGCTGCTATAAAGACACATGCACACGTATGTTTATTGTGGCATTATTCACAATAGCAAAGACTTGGAACCAACCCAAATGTCCAACAATGATAGACTGGATTAAGAAAATGTGGCACATATGCACCATGGAATACTATGCAGCCATAAAAAATGATGAGTTCATGTCCTTTGTAGGGACATGGATGAAATTGGAAATCATCATTCTCAGTAAACTATCACAAGAACAAAAAACCAAACACTGCATATTCTCACTCATAGGTGGGAATTGAACAATGAGAACACATGGACACAGGAAGGGGAACATCACACTCTGGGGACTGTTGTGGGGTGGGGGGAGGGGGGAGGGATAGCATTGGGAGATATACCTAATGCTAGATGACAAGCTGGTGGGTGCAGCGCACCAGCATGGCACATGTATGCATATGTGACTAACCTGCACATTGTGCACATGTACCCTAAAACTTAAAGTATAATAATAATTAATTAATTAATTAAAAAAAAAAAAAAGCACAGGGCCTGGTAGGCCGTGGGGAAGGGCATTACTCAGGGAAGTGACAGGATCTTTTTGGCAATAACATGACTGCCATTTTTAAAAGATCACTTTGGCTGTTGAGGACAGACTATAGGAAAGTCAAAAATGAAAGCAAGGAGGTCAGTTAAGAGGCCTTCTCCATATTCCAAACAAGAGATGATGGAGACTAGGGTGAGGATGATAGAGGTAAGAGAGAAATTGATACATGTGGAATATATTCAGGAGGTAGAGCCCATGATACTTGCCAATAGATTGGACCAAAGAGGAGATGAAGGACCTGGAGGAATCACAGATGACCCCCTGGGTTTCTGGCCTAAGCAATGGAATAAAAATGGTGCCATTTACTGGAATGGGAAAGAAGATAACTGTTCTTAGAACTACAATGAAAAGAGTATATTATGTACAGTGGCTCATGCCTGTAATCTCAGCACTTTGGGAGGCCAAAGCAGGAGGATCAGTTGAGGCCACGAATTTGAAGCTGCAGTGAGCTATGATGGTGCCACTGCACTCCAGCCTGAGCAACAAAGCAAGACCGTATTTCTAAATAAAATAAAAAGGTGAAAAGAGGTTAGAGAAACCTCTGTCCTAGGGAAAGCAAGATCCTGAGATACAGACAATGAGCAAAGGGGAGCCTTTTTCCCTCCATTCTTGCTGCTCTGTCAACTGATGGCGTAGGTCCTGCCTCATCAAGAGTCTGGCCCAGCCCCAGCCCCAGACTTTCTTCTCCTCCTGATGTTAGAACTCTGCTCTCCTCTTTCTTGCCCCTTTCTCCCTTGCAGTTGTGGTAAGGACTAAAGAATATAAATAGAATGCCTAGAAGAGTTTCAAGTACATAATAAATTCTTGTTAATTTTTTTCTTTCTTCTGTTTTTTCTTTGTTATTAGATAAAATGTTTTCACGGATAAAATTTTAATACACTTTGTCAACTGAAAACAAAAAGATTCCATAAATTCCAATAATTCACTATTAAATTTCTATGCTGAGTTCTCTTTCCCATCTTGCAAGATGGTGGGTGAAAAGGTTGAGAAGCCAGATCCTAAAGAGAAGAAACCAGAAGCCAAGAAGGCTGATGCTGGTGGCAAGGTAAAAAGGGGCAGCCTCAAGACTAAAAAGCCCAAGAGGGAGAAGCCCCATTGCAGCTGAAATCCTGTCTTTGTCAGAGGAATTGGCAGGTATTCCCAATCAGCCATGTATTCCAGAAAGGCCATGTACAAGAGGAAGCACTCAGCTGCTGAATCCAAGGTTGAAAAGAAAAAGAAGTTCTTGCAACTATTACAAAACCAGTTGGTGGTGACAAGAACGGTGGTACCCAGGTGGTTAAACATCGCAAAATGCCTAGATATTATCCTACTGAAGATGTGCCTCAAAAGCTGTTGAGCCACGGCAAAAAAACCGTTCAGTCAGCACATGAGAAAACTGTGAGCCAGCATCACCCCTGGGACCATTCTGATCACCCTCACTGAGCACCACAGAGGCAAAAGGGTGGTTTTCCTGAAGCTGCTGGCTAGTGGCTTGTTACTTGTGACTGGACCTCCGGTCTTCAACCAAGATCCTCTACAAAGAACACGCCAGAAATCTGTCACTGCCACCTCAACCAAAATTGATAATCAGCAATGTAAAAATCCCAAAACATCCTGCTGACGCTTACTTCAAGAAGCAGCAGCTGTGGAAGCCCAGAAACAGGAAGGTGAGATCTTCAACACAGAAAAAGAGAACTACGAGATTACAGAGCAGCACCAAATCGATCAGAAAGCTGTGGACTCACAAATTTTACCAAAAATCAAAGCTATTCCTCAGCTCCAGGGCTACCTGTGATCTGTGTTTGCCCTGATGAATGGAATTTATTCTCACAGGCCAGGTGCAGTAGCTCACACCTGTAGTCCCAGCACTTCAGGAGGCTGAGGTGGGTAGATCGCTGGAGCTCAGGAGTTCAAGGCCAGCCTGGGCAACATGGCAAAACAGCATCTCTACTAAAAACACAAAAAAGAAAATTAGCCAGGTGTGGTGACGCATGGCTGTGGTCCCAGCTACTGGGAAGGCTGAGGTGGGAGGATCACTTGACCCAGGAGGCAGAAGTTGCAGTGAGCCAAGATCATGCCACTGCACTTCAGCCTGGGCAACAGAGTGAAACACTGTCTCCAAAAAAAAAAAAAAAAGAAAGAAAGAAAAGAAGGAAAGAGAAAAAAAAAGAAATCTATCCTCACAAATTGGTGTTCTGAATTTCTTAAGAACCTAAGTAAATAACTGATTTTAAAAATTATATACCAAACTATTTTTCATTTAAAAAAATTACAGCACGCAGGCCAGGCGTGGTGGCTCATGCCTGTAATCCCAGCACTTTGGGAGGCCAAGGCAGGTGGATCACTTGAGGTTAGGAGTTCGAGACAAGCCTGGCCAACGTGGTGAAACCCCATCTCTACTAAAAATACAAAAATTAGGGCCAGGCATGGTGGCTCACGCCTGTAATCCCAGCATTTTGGGAGGCAGAAGCAGGCAGATCACGAGGTCAGGAGATCAAGACCATCCTGGCCAAGATGATGAAACCCCATCTCTACTAAAAATACAAAAAATTAGCCAGACATGGCGGCACGTGCCTGTAATCCCAGCTACTCAGGAGGCTGAGGCAGGAGAATTGATTGAACCCGGGAGGTGGAGGTTACAGTGAGCCGAGATCGCGCCTCTGCACTCCAGCCTGGGTGACAGAGCAAGACTCCACCTCAAAGAAAAAAAAGATTACAGCATGCAATTCACTGGAGTTTAGATATCCGGTTCATTCTTTTCTCAAGATCTGCCTCCTCTATGCTGTCAGCCAAGGTTTTAGGCTGTTTGTTATCTCTGTTTTATTCTGCGTAGTCTCCCTGGATGAGCTCAAAGACATCCATGGTTTCAGTTTTCATCTCTCTACTTTCCCTTTCCTGAACAGCACATCTGTAAAGCCCACTACTGGAGATCTCCACTCGAGTGTCTCCTGAGAGCTTCAAACACCAACCTAACAAAAACGAAATGTATCTCCTACATCCCCAAGACAATTTTTCCTTTCCCATTCTCTCTGATGACAGCATGTACCCCATGGCCCAAGCCCACAATCTAGAAGTCATCCTAGGTTCCTCCCTTTCATTCACTCGCATCCTTTTTCCTAAGCTATGCTGTGATTTCTACTTCTTCCACGACTCCTGAGTCAGAGCCACATCATCTACTGCACCTTCATTTCCTTAAGTCATGTACTTTGTCACACCTGGATTACTGGGAGAGCTTTTCACATGACAGATGGAGATAAAAAATAAGCAGAAAAAATAGCCTTGAGGGAACACATACAATGCAGGGAGAAGAAATCTATTTTATATCCTCACAGATAAGAAAAAATAAGCAATTATGAATAAAACAGGTTACCTTTTACAAAGGAGAAGGGCAAGTATTCAGAGAAAAAAATAAAAATATAGTAGCAGAAAAGAAAAACTTCTGGTGATTGGAGGACAAAACTGAAAGGATCTCCCACAAATTGCAGCAAAAGGCAAAGGGATAAAAAACAAGAGAGAAAAGATAAAAATTTAGAAGGCCAGTGCAGTACATGAATAATAGTACTTCTTCTAGAAAGTACAGGGAAAACGAAAAGATAGAAATATATACGAATTAATTTTTAAGATAATTTTCTGGAAGTGAGGGACATGAGTTTCTAGATTGCAAGGGTTTGAAGCATGTCAGGTATAATGGATAATGGTAAGAGTAGCTAACACGAACAGTGTTAGGGCTTCCTCTGTGCCAGGCACTGTTCTAACTGCTTTAATATATTTAACTCATTTCCTTGTCAAAACCATCATTATCTACCTTTTACAGATGTAGAAATTAAAGCTGAGAAAAATTAAATAAACTGTCCAAGACAATACAGTCAGTAAGTGATGAAAGTGGCATTCAACTCCAGCTGGCCCACGCCCTACACTCAATGCTCTAAATCACTGTACTATATTGGATGTGAATAGACTTACACCATGATTCCTATCAGGACACTGGGATCTAGGGGAAGATGCCATAAGCTTCCAGGGAGAAAAAGCAGGTCTCATGGAAGGATCCACAGTAAAGATGGTTTCAGAATGCTGACAATAATAAAACTAAAAAGAAATGAACAGGCTGGGCATGGTGGCTCACACCTATAATCCCAGCACTTTGGGAGGCCAAGGCAGGCAGATCACCTGTGGTCAGGAGTTCAGGACCAGCCTGGCCAACATCGCTAAACCCTATCTCTACTAAAAATACAAAACTTAGCCGCACATAGTGGCATGTGCCTATAATCCCAGCTACTAGGGATGCTGAGGCAGGAGAATCACTTGAACCCTTAAGGCGGAGGTTGCAGTGAGCCGAGACTGCGCCACTGCACTCCAGCCTGGGTGACAGAGCGAGACTCCGTCTCAAAAAAAAGAAAAAAAGAAAGAAAGAAAGAAAAAGAAATGAACAAACCCTTCAAAATTTTGTAGGAACATTATTTACAACCTACAATGCTATACCTAGCCAAGCTGTCAATGACATCTTGAGAGTAAAATAAAGACTCTAGACAAGAAGAACTCAAAAAATTTTCCTCCCATGTACCCTATCTCAAGTAACTACTGGAGAGGATGCTGCACCAAAATAAAGCAGCAAACCAAGAAAGAGGATGACCACACAAGAAACAGGGGCATCTGCACAGAAGAGAGTCGAGTGAATCCCCAGGCGGATAATGTCAAAATCACAGAAGGAGAGTTTGTTCTGAGTATGAAAATAAACAGTCCAGGTTAGAGCAGGACAAGACTTCTTACGGGCCTTCTCAGGAAGGTGAAATAGAATAAAATACATCAGAATGTTTTGAGAGGACTAACAACTGGCAATGAGCACGGAGTTAATAAATAAATATTTCAATAAATGCATGGAAAACTAAGCAATTACTAAATCCAATTACTAAATTTCTAAATCCTGCAAAAAGAAAGTAACAGGGAAGGAAAATTAATCATGGTTTGCTACATAGATCAGTTCTGAAATGTTCACGTACTGCTGTGGTATGAATGTTTATGTCCCCCAAATATTGTATGTTGAAATCCTAATTCCCAAGGTAATGATATTAAGAGCCTTTTGGAAGGTGATTAGGTCACAAAGATGGAGCCCTCATGAATGGGATTAATGCCCTTATAAAAGAAGCTCCTCAGAGCTAGCTGGTCCCTTCCACCATGTAAAGACACAGGTAGGGAACTGTGGACTCAAGAAACAGTTCCTGTCTTCACATGCATTCCTATCCTTGTGGATAGGAACTATCTATTATGAACAGGACCTCACCAGGCATCTGCTGACTCCTTGATCTTGGACTTTCCAGTTTCCATAACTGCAAAAAATAAATTTCTGTTTTGTATAAACTACCCAGTTTATAGTATTTTGTTTTATCAGCCCAAATGGACTAAGACAATAGTCACAATAATGTTAACATTTAATACTGATCTAAGACAAATTATAATATAATCTAATGACATGTTTAGAGGGAAAAGGAAATATTCTACACCTGTGGTAAGGTTAAGAAAAAAAATAGGCCGTGCACGGTGGCTCACACCTGTAATCCCAGCATTTTGGGAGGCTGAGGCGGATGAATGACTTGAGGTCAAGAGTTTGAGACCAGCCTGGCCAACATGGTGAAACCTGGTCTCTACCAAAAACACAAAAATTAGCCGGGTGTGGTGGCACGTGCCTGTAATCCCAGCTACTAGGGAGGCTGAGGCAGGAGAATCACTTGAACCCGGGAGGCAGAGGTTGCAGTGAGCCAAGAGTGTGCCATTGCACTCCAGCCTGGGCAACAAAGTGAGACTCCGTCTCAAGGAAAAAAAAAAAAGAAAAAATGTTATCATCTATACTGGGAAGTCAATAGATTGTGCCTAGAAAGAAAAGAAAAAAAAAACAAACAAACAAGAAGTAGTAATACCGACGTGGTATTTCCAGTTTTCGAGTCATGGAGGTAAATAACAACATAGGTAAAGTACGTGAAATTAGTTGACTCTGTAGAGGTAGAAATGAGTGGTAGTGGTATAGAAAACTATTATTTTATTTTATTTATTTATTTATTATTTTTTTGAGATGGAGTCTCGCTCTGTGGCCCAGGCTGGAGTACAGTGGCGAGATCTCGGCTCACTGCAACCCCCACCTCCCTGGTTCAAGCAATTCCCCTGCCTCAGCCTCCCGAGTAGCTGGGATTACAGGCGCACACCACCATGCCCAGCTAATTTTTTTGTATTTTTAGTAGAGACAGGGTTTCACCATGTTGGCCAGACTGGTCTCCAACTCCTGACCTCAGGCGATCCATCCACCTCAGCCTCCCAAAGTGTTGGGATTACAGGCGTGAGCCACTGTGCCTGGCCTATTTTATTTTAAGACAGGGTTTTTTTCTGTTGCCCAGGCGGGAGTACAGTGATGCAATCATAGCTCACTGTAACCTCGAATTCCTGAGCACTCAAGGGATCCTCCCACTTTAGCCTCCCAAGTGGCTGGGACTACAGTCATGTCTGGCTGATTTTTTTTTTTTTTTTTTTTTTTGCTTTTGTAGAGATGGGGTTTCACTCTTTTGTTCAGACTGGTCTTGAACTCTTGGCCTCAAGAGATCCTCCCACCTCAGCCTCCAAAAGTGCTGGGATTACAGGCATAAGCCACCATGACCAGCTTGGAAACTACTGTTTTAAAAAACAAATCTTTATTTGAAATACATTTACAGAAGCCGGGCAGAGTGGCTCATGCCTGTAATCCCAGCACTTTGGGAAGCCAAGGCGGGTGGATCACCTGAAGTCAGGAGTTCAAAACCAGCCTGGCCAACATGGCAAAACCCCGTCTGTACTAAAAATACAAAAATTAGCCAGGCGTGGTGGCTTGCGCCTCTAGTCCCAGCTACTCAGGAGGCTGAGGCATGAGAATCACTTGAACCCAAGAGGCGGAGCTTGCAGTGAGCTGACATTGTGCCCCTGCACTCCAGGCAACAGAGTAAGACTCGGTCTCAAATAAATAAATAAATAAAAATAATATAAAATAAAATACATTTATAACTGGCAATGTTTAAAAAGAGAAACAAACTGAGTTCCACTGAAATTAAGAGATTTTCTCGGTCTCTGGGCGGGCCGTGGGAGGCTTCCTGAGGTGGGGGCCGGGCCAGGATGGCTGCAGCGCAGCGACGGCCGGGGCCGGGAGCGGGTCCTGGGCGGCCCAGGAGAAGCAGTTCCCGCCGGCGCTGCTGAGTTTCTTCATCTACAATCCGCGCTTCAGGCTGCGCAAAGGAGAGGGGGAAAATAAGATTTTATTTTATCATCCAAATGAGGTAGAAAAAATGAAAAGATTAGAAATGTCGGATTGTGTGAAGCTATTGTACAGTTTACAAGGACCTTTAGCCCATCAAAACCTGCAAAATCTTTACATACACAGAAGAACAGACAGTTCTTCAATGAACCAGAAGAAAATTTCTGGATGGTCATGGTATTTACATACACAGTGTATCTTTCTGAAATTGTATGGTGAAGCTATGGGTGATCTTTACTATTCAGAATTTAGGAAAGTTCTCTGGCTGTTGCATCCAAGTAAAATTAAAATAAAATTGGTTGCAATTTTAAAATAAAAAAAAAGAGATTTTCTCATGGATATACAACTAATTGGGACAGGGAAGACTCTAGAACCCAGATCTACTAAAACCTAGAGTTTTCTCTCTATTACTATCTTATCTAAATCTGATTTTTAAGAAATCAAAACTAACAGCAACAATGCCAGATATATTGCGCAGTAGATTTGCGGACTTTAGATTTTAAAATATTTACAGTTTTCAAATAAATTATTGGAAGTATTATCCCTGAGACTAGATGGATTAGTGACAGTAACCCTAAAAAGAAAGAGTTCAGGCCGCTCAGTGGGATGTGGACTACAAAAATAAAAATACAGCATGAATCTTTTCACAGTCCAAAACATATGTTGATACAGCTGGAGATTGTTAATTTTTAAAGAAAATTGAATTGGTTTTGATTTCCAAAGAAATGAAAACACACTAAATTTCTGCTAACAACTATCTTTGGTTGTGTAATCGTAAAATGGTCTTTTTCCACATTTTAACCAGTTAACAATCCAGCTCTAATATTTATGATAATTACTGAGATGGAGGAAATTTAGTCAAAATGTCAGAAAGAACAAATAGGAGAGGACAGGTATGTAAAGGAAGTGGGAAGAAAGAGTAGAGTGGGTAATCTGGTGAAAGCTCCAACTCCCAGACTTTCAGCCAAGAAACTTTGGGAATGTTTCTGGTTGGCAGATCAGAGTCTTACACAGAGCACACTGGAATTTTATGAGGCAAATTTGGACTAGGAATGTTGATGTTCCACCTTCTCAAGTCACACAGCCAAGGCTATATACAGAGCCTGGGTTCCTGACAACTTTTTTCAGGGATGAGGATCACTAAATCAAATGAGTCACTCACATCAAAACTCCTGACACAAAGTGCTCTTCATTTGTGCCATATGTCACAGATAGAAGAAAATATCGGGATAATTCAGATAATGGCTTCTAAATATGTCAAAGCAGCAACCACCAGACACAACTCCTTACTCTGAGGTTAAACTATGGACCTACATGGATTATAACCCCCAGGATGCTTTGATTGTTCCGCACCTTTATAAAATTGGAAATCTACATTTATAAAATCTGCATTTCTATAATTACAGATGTACTGATATGCTATCTAGAATTTACTTCAAAATAACCCAATGGTGGGAACTGGGGTGTGGAAAGTGAGTGAGTATAAGTGAGATAAAATTGGCCGTGAGTTGATAAGTGCTGGAGCAAGGTGATAGAGACATAGAGATTCATTTTCTTATTCTTACTACTCTTGCATGTTTGAAATTTTCCACAATAACGAGTTGCATGTGTTTTTTTTTTTCATCTTTATTATCAGATTCTCTAAAAAAATTGGAAGATCTTCCCCTTGGGAAAATCAAACTGGAAGATTATCCCCTCAATGCCACTCTAGCATGGCACCGACAGACTGGAGCTGAGTGGCTGCTGCCCCTTTGGAGGAGGCGCATGCTCTCCCCTTCTCCAGTCTCTGCACTCCCTGTATGGCTTCACTGGACCATTTTGCTCATTTATGCTACTGACTCGATATTGGAATGCATAGGTTTGTAACCTCAAAGTTATCCATAACCCCCAAATCCCAGAGTGATAGCAATGTATCAAAAATTTTATATTTGCAGAGTGATATCAGTAAGGTGGCAGAATAGGAAGCCTCAGATCCTCACTCACCAAGGAAGACACTGACTTAACAATATACAAACCAAACTGCTTTAGTAAGAACTCCAGAAACAAGTTAAGAGGTTGCAGCACCTCAGCAAGTGCATTGAAATGGGTAGGAAAATTCATGGCATTTTACCTGCCCTAGCCATTCCTTCTCCCGTGCACAAGGTGGCACAACCAGGAGAAAAATTCTAACCCCATTTTTCCTCAGGAGTGAAAGAGATGAATGCACTGTTTATCCAACATTCTGGTTTTTCGGGGATGCTGCTCAAGGACTGGGTTCTATCTTACCTGACTTGGAACAGTGACCAGAACAGCAGTTTGGATGCCAAGTTGGGGGGCCACTGGGAACAAAGGCAAGCTCCACAGTTTGTTACAGCACTGGAGAGAGTGTAGTACCACAGACAGACACCAGGAAAAGCAAAAGATTATGAGCTCCAGTGAAGAAGCAAGTAAACCTTTTTTAACTGGGAAGTTATACACACAAGCCCAGAGAAGATGCATTCCCAGAAAGGTTTGGGAGGTCGCCATACACTCTAGCCAGGCTGACTGGTGAAGACCCTCCCCTGCATGAAGCCAATGTCTAAAGACTGGGAGAGGTAGCTGTTTTTTATTTGGTTTGGGGGGTTTTGGTTTTTTTGTTTGTTTTTTGTTTTTGTTTTTTGAATGCCCAAAGCTCAACAAAAGGGCACAAGGCCTACAAAGAAACAGGAAAACATGGCCTGATCAAAGTAACAAAATAAATTTCCAGAAACCAACCCCCAAAGAAACGCAGGCCTATGATTTACCTGACAAAGGATTCAAAATAAACATCTTAAAGATGCTAAGTGAGCTAACAGAGAAGATAAACAACTAAAAATCAGGAAAATGATACATGTACAAAATGAGAATATCAACAAAGTCATAGAAACCATTTTTTAAAATCTGGAGCTGAAGAATACAATAACTGAATTTTAAAATTCACTAGAGGAGTTCAACAGGACACTTAAGCAGAAAAAAGAGTCAGTGAATTTGAAGTCAGATCACTTAAAATTATTGAGTCAGATAAGCAAAAAGAAAGAATGAAGAAAAGTGAAGAACGCCAAAAATACTTATAGAACACCATCAAACAGACCAATATATGCATGATGGGAGACCCAGAAGAAAAGGGAGAAAGGACTAGCAAGCCTACTTGAAGAGATAATGGCCAAAATCTTCCCAAATTTGAGGAAGAAAATGAACATACCAATTCAAAAAGCCCAACAAACTCCAACTAGGATAAACCAAAGTGACCCAAACCAAAACACATTATTATCAAACTGTAAAATGTCAAAGACAAAGAGAGAATCTTGAAAGCAGCAAGAGAAAAGTGACTCATCACATACTAGGGAGATCTTATTAGACTATAAGCAGTTTGTTTTGTTTCTTTTTTTTTTTTTTTTTGAGATAGGATCTTGCTCTGTCACCCAAGCTAGAGTGCAGTGGCATCATCATAGCTCACTGCAGCCTCGAACTCCTGGGCTCAAGCAATCCTCCTGCCTCAGCCTCTGGAGTAACTGTGACTATAGGCACACACTACCATGCCTGGATAATTTTCTTTTTATTTTTTGTAGAGATGAGGTCTCACCGTATTGCTCAAGCTGTTCTTAAACTCCTGGTCTCAAGCAATCCTCCCACCTTGGCCTCCCAACCTTCTGGGATTACAGGTGTGAACCACTGAGCCCAGCCTACCAGCAGATTTTTTAGCAGAAACCCTGCAGGCCAGGGCAAAGTGTGGTGGCTCCCACCAATACTCCCAGCACCTTGGGAGGCCAAGGTGAACAGATCAGTTGAGGTCAGGAGTTCGAGACCAGCCTGACCAACATGGTGAAACCCTGTCTCTACTAAAAATCCAAAATTAGCCAGGCGTGGTGGTGCTACTTGGGAGCATGAGGCAGAGAATTGCTTGAGCCCAGGAGTTGGAGGTTGCAGTAAGCCAAGATTGCGCCACTGCACTCCAGCCTGGGTGACAGAGCGAGACTCCGTCTCAAATAAAAGAAACCCTCCAGGCCAGAAGGGAGTGAGGTAATATATTTGAAGTGCTAAAAGGGAAAAAACTGCCAACCAACAACACTATGTGTGGCAAAACTGTCCTTCAAAAATTAAAAAGAAATTAAAACTTTCCCAGATAAACAAAAGCTGAGGAGGTTCGTTACCACTAGGCCTTACCCCTACAAGAAATACTAAAGAGACTCCTTCAAGTTGAAACAAAAAGACACTAGACAGCAACATAAAACCATAGAAAAATATAAAGCTTTCTGATAAAGGTAAATATGTAGATAAAATGTAGAATTAGGCCAGGTGCAGTGGCTCATGCCTGTAGTCCTAGCACTTTGGGAGGCTGAGGCAGGCAGATCACCTGAGGTCAGGAGTTTGAGACAAGGCTGGTCAACATGGCAAAATCCTGTCTCTACTAAAATTAGCTGGGCATGGTGGCACATGCCTGTAATCCCAGCTATTCAGGAGGCTGAGGCAGGAAAATTGCATGAACCCAGGAGGTGGAGGTTGCAGTGAGCTGAGATCACACCACTCGACTCCAGCCTGGGCAACAGAGTGAGATTCCGCCTCAAAAAAAAAAAAAAAAAGGTTTCTCTATCTATATATAAAATTCTATAGTATTGTAAGTAGTGTAATGTTGTTGTGTAGATCACTTTTAAGTTTGGCATAGAATCTAAAATACAAAAGCATGAAAAATAACTATAAATTATGTTAATGAATACACAATATAGAAAGATGTAATTTCTGACATCAATACCAAAGTAGGGGAAAGTGGAGATGTAAAGAAGTAGAATTTTTGCATGCCACTGAAGTTGAATTGTTATCAGTTTTAATTAAATTGTTATAACCTTAAAATGTTTTACGTAAAAATGGTATATTTGTTCATTCTGACCTTTGTCTTGAACTGTTTTAGTCCCATATTCAATCATATCATGGCTATCTCCTGATTTTTAAAAAGTATCCTATCTTAAAAAGAATACCAAAAAAATTAGCCACGCATGGTGGGACCATAGGCAGCTATAGTCCCAAGTAGCTGGGATTGCTTGAACTTAGGAGTTCAAAGTTGAAGCGAGTAATGATCATGCTACTACGCCCCAGCCTGGGCAACAGAGCCAGATCCTGTCTCTAAAAAAATTCTTTTAATTAAAAAAATTAAAAATAAGAATGCAACAATCAAGTGCATTCTATTGTGGATCTTTCACCATCTGAAATTTTCTTTTTTTTTTTTGAGATGGAGTTTCACTCTTGTCTCCCAGGCTGGAGTGCAATGGTGTGATCTTGGCTCACTGCAACCTCCACCTCCTGGGTTCAAGTGATTCTCCTCCTGCCTCAGCCTCCCAAGTAGCTGGGATTACAGGCGCATGCCACCATGCCTGGCTAATTTTTTGTAGTTTTAGTAGAGACGGGGTTTCACCATGTTGGCCAGGCTGGTCTTGAACTCCTGATCTCAGGTGATCCACCCATCTCAGCCTCCCAAAGTGCTGGGATTACAGGCGTGCGCCTCCATGCCCGGCCCTGAAAATTTTCAATCAATGATCGTCTATTGAGTGCCTATATGAGTTATGCATTGGAGCACTAACATAAGAAAGCATTCCTTTCCTGCTCTTAAGGCATTTCAAGAGAGGGAGAGACATATACACATATTACTGAATTTTGCAATGTAATTTTATTTCAATATGTGCAGTTTTCAGAGGTTCAGAAACACCTGCCTAAAATCATGATTAAGAGAATCTTAAAGCTGGAAGCAGGACTCTTCTCTCAAGAAAATCATGAGGAACCAAAGCTTTCTCAAATTCCATCTTTTCTCAAGGAATATTAAAATATTTTATTCTGGCAAACTTTTTACAGATACACGTTTCATTCATTTTCAACATTATGAAAAAGAATGTGTGATCTGAGAGACCAGAACAGATGCCTCTTTATCAACTAAGATGGCCCACAAGGTTAAGGAAATAAAAATTATTATGGTGTCAAGGGCTCAGGGCTCAGTTGGCATGACAACTTCCTAAATTCCTACCCCTAGAAGAAAAAGCACACTCTTGCTAAATTCCATAACAACAGGAGCTATCACAGCCCTCCTGACCTTGATTTACATCCCACACCACTACAACTCTGATTGAGCAGAGGACTAACCTTACAAACCTTCTTTTCTGAAAAGCAACTACAGACCTTAAGCCAGTTTCTGCCAGCTTATAGAGGCTGCTCATGAACTGTGTCTGTGCCCTGTAGTTCACTTTTGATATAGAGCCAAACTCCACCTTATTTTAATGCTAAAACCCCACCCCAAAGTGAACATGGGAAGTATGTTACATATATGTTTGCCCATTGCACATGTGCTTGACTACCTTCATACATATGTATAGCTTTCCCCCCAAAACCTGCTGAATATGTATTACTTTACTGTGTGATACACGCCCTGGGAGGCCTAAAACCCAGCCTGCCCTTTCCCTCTTCGAAGAAAGAGCACCTTCAGTCCACTTCAGAGACTCTCTTCCCAATTCGCAAACTGATATCACCAATAAAACTCTCCTTTCTAATATTTAGCCATCCTGATGGTCTTTTGGACAACAGATGGAAGCATATTACTTATACCCACAATTAATGCCACTAACTAAAAGTGCCAGGTTGTGAGTGAGGTGTGACATGCTTAGGGCTCCCTGGTGGCTCCAGAGGACAGACCACAAAATGATATCTGTGCTTCTGGGTTACACAGTGGGGACATCAGGATGTGACATTTTTGCACACAAATTCTCCATGCTACTTTTAAGAGAAAGACATAAGTGACAAGTTGATTATCAGGGATTATGATTTTTAAAGAGAAATGATCAGGATTTGCCATAGGTACAGTGGCCATATTTTCAACTAAAAATTCAGGTCAGATAGTTTGGCAAGTAGTACATATATATTGTAAGAATAAAACCAAATTTTTTAAATTTCAAGACTCCTGGTCTGCACAAAGATCAAGAGAATCAGCCCAATATAATATATCTTCTATACCTAGATTACAATGATAGTGATACTCACAGTAATGTCTAACACTAGAGTAATTCTCATTGTGTGCCTGGCAGTTTTCATTTAATCTTAAGAAGTAGGTATACCTGTATTATCCCCATTTTACAAATGAGAAAACAAACACAGAAACAAGGTAACTTATCCCAGCTCACACAGCAATAAGCAGCTGAGCTATGATTTGAAGAAAGGCACCCAGGTCTAAAGTCTATATTCTTAAACAGTATGCCACAGTGCCTTTCATAATGAAATGAAGCTAAGATACTAGAAGATCAGCCAGGCGCGGTGGCTCACACCTGTAATCCCAGCACTTTGGGAGGCCAAGATGGGCAGATCACTTGAGGTCAGAAGTTCGAGACCACCCTGGCCAACATGGTGAAATCCCATCTCTACTAAAAAATACAAAAATTAGCTAGGTGTGGTGGTGCATGCCTGTAGTCCCAGCCACTCGTGTTACTGAAGCATGAGAATTGCTTGAACCCAGGAGGCAGAGGTTACAGTGAAACTTCCACTCCAGCCTGGGTGGGAAAAAAAAAATACCAGAAGATCCTAAAATGCCTACTGAATCATCTAAAAAATACTAAACTGTGCTCAAATGTAACATTAATATCCAAGTGTGCTTTATTGGATTCAAATGCTAGAAAAATTATTCATCCAAATCCAATACTTTCCAGTTGATCAATTCCCCATCCCCCATCCACTCTGTGTTTTCCTCATAAGACCTTCTGTGTATTTTCATGTCACTTTCACACAAGTATGTGTGTTCCATATGCTTCAGGGTCATTCCAGATAGAAAATAAGAAATTAGGCAGAAGGAAAAAGACTGAATTTTTTTTTTTTTTTTTTTTTTTGAGACACGTTCTCACTCTGCTGCCTTGGCTGGAGTGCAGTGGCATGATCACAGCTCAATGCAGCGTCAAACTACTAGGCTCAAGGGATCCTCCCATCTCAGCCTCCTGAGTAGCTGGGACTACAGGCACACAGCACCATGTTCAGCTAATTTTTTAATTTTTTGTGGAGACCGGGTCTCCCTATATTGCCCAGGCTGGTCCCAAACTCCTGGGCCCAAGCGAGTCTCCCACCTCAGCCTCCGAAAGCACTGAGATTTATAGGCATAAGCCATCACCCCCAGCCTGACAATTTTTTTTAGGAGAACAAAAACAAAGTGAGTTCTACTTGCTACTTTAAAGCACCACATGTGAATATTCAATGATGTTTCATTGCAAATTGGAAACTAGATCCCATTTGTCAATTTTGGCTTTTGTTGCCATCGCTTTTGGTGTTTTAGACATGAAGTCCTTGCCCATGCCTATGTCCTGAATGGTGTTGCCTAGGTTTTCTTCTAGGGTTTTTATGGTTTTTAGGTCTAACATTTAAGTCTGTAATCCATCTTGAATTAATTTTTGTGTAAGGTGTAAGGAAGGGATCCAGTTTCAGCTTTCTACATATGGCTAGCCAGTTTTCCCAGCACCATTTGTTAAATAGGGAATCCTTTCCCCATTGTTCGTTTTTGTCAGGTTTGTCAAAGATCAGATAGTTGCAGATGTGTGGTATTATTTCTGAGGGCTCTGTTCCATTGGTCTATATCTCTGTTTTGGTACCAGTACCATGCTGTTTTGGTTACTGTAGCCTTGTAGTATAGTTTGAAGTCAGGTAGCGTGATGCCTCCAGCTTTGTTCTTTTGGCTTAGGATTGACTTGGCAATGCGGGCTCTTTTTTGGTTCCATATGAACTTTGAAGTAGTTTTTTCCAATTCTGTGAAGAAAGTCATTGGTAGCTTGATGGGGATGGCATTGAATCTATAAATTACCTTGGGCAGTATGGCCATTTTCACGATATTGATTCTTCCTATCCATGAGCATGGAATGTTCTTCCATTTGTTTGTGTCCTCTTTTATTTCGTTGAGCAGTGGTTTGTAGTTCTCCTTGAAGAGGTCCTTCACATCCCTTGTAAGGTGGATTCCTATGTATTTTATTCTCTTTGAAGCAATTGCGAATGGGAGTTCATTCACGATTTGGCTCTCTGTTTGTCTGTTATTGGTGTATAAGAATGCTTGTGATTTTTGCACATTGATTTTGTATCCTGAGACTTTGCTGAAGTTGCTTATCAGCTTAAGGAGATTTTGGGCTGAGACGGTGGGGTTTTCTAGATATACAATCATGTCATCTGCAAACAGGGACAATTTGACTTCCTCTTTTCCTAACTGAATATGCTTTATTTCTTTCTCCTGCCTGATTGCCCTGGCCAGAACTTCCAACACTATGTTGAATAGGAGTGGGGAGAGAGGGCATCCCTGTCTTGTGCCAGTTTTCAAAGGGAATGCTTCCAGTTTTTGCCCATTCAGTATGATATTGGCTGTGGGTTTGTCATAAATAGCTCTTATTATTTTGAGATACGTCCCATCAATACCTAATTTATTGACAGTTTTTAGCGTGAAGGGCTGTTGAATTTTGTCGAAGGCCTTTTCTGCATCTATGGAGATAATCATGTGGTTTTTGTCTCTGGTTCTGTTTATATGCTGGATTACGTTTATTGATTTGCGTATGTTGAACCAGCCTTGCATCCCAGGGATGAAGCCCACTTGATCATGGTGGATAAGCTTTTTGATGTGCTGCTGGATTCAGTTTGCCAGTATTTTATTGAGGATTTTTGCATCGATGTTCATCAGGGATATTGGTCTAAAATTCTCTTTTTTGGTTGTGTCTCTACCAGGCTTTGGTATCAGGATGATGCTGGCCTCATAAAATGAGTTAGGGAGGATACCCTCTTTTTCTATTGATTGGAATAGTTTCAGAAGGAATGGTTAAACTAAAGAGCTTCTGCACAGCAAAAGAAACTACCATCAGAGTGAACAGGCAACCTACAGAATGGGAGAAAATTTTTGCAACCTACTTATCTGACAAAGGGCTAATATCCAGAATCTACAAGGAACTCAAACAAATTTACAAGAAAAAAACAACCCCATCAAAAAGTGGGCAAAGGATATGAACAGACACTTCTCAAAAGAAGACATTTATGCAGCCAACAGGCACATGAAAAAATGTGCATCATCACTGGCCATCAGAGAAATGCAAATCAAAACCACAATGAGATATCATCTCACACCAGTTAGAATGAGGATCATTAAAAAGTCAGGAAACAACAGGTGCTGGGGAGGATGTGGAGAAATAGGAACACTTTTACACTGTTGGTGGGACTGTAAACTAGTTCAACCATTGTGGAAGACAGTGTGGCAATTCCTCAGGGATCTAGAACTAGAAATACCATTTGACCCAGCCATCCCATTACTAGGTATATACCCAAAGGAATATAAATCATGCTGCTATAAAGACACATGCACACGTATGTTTATTGTGGCACTACTCACAATAGCAAAGACTTGGAACCAACCCAAATGTCCAACAATGATAGACTGGATTAAGAAAATGTGGCACAAATGCACCATGGAATACTATGCAGCCATAAAAAATAATGAGTTCATGTCCTTTGTAGGGACATGGGTGAAGCTGGAAACCATCATTCTCAGCAAACTATCACAAGGACAAAAAACCAAACACCGCATGTTCTCACTCATAGGTGAGAATTGAAAAATGAGAACACTTGGACACAGGAAGGGGAACATCACACACGGGGGCCTGTTGTGGGGTGGGGGTATGGGGGAGGGATAGCATTAGGAGATATACCTAATGTAAATGATGAGTTACTGGATGCAGCACACCAACATGGCCCATGTATACATATGTAACAAACCTGCACGTTGTGCACATGTACCCTAGAACTTAAAGTACAATAAAAAATATATATATTTAAAAAAAAGAAAATTGGAAACTAGGGAGGTACTAAAAATGAAGTCTATTATTTTTCTTAACCAAATGAAATGTTTCAGTTTATCATTTTTAAGAGAATTTCTCTCTTGCCTTCTTTTGGTCCCTCCTTGGGATCTCAAAGATGCATATTTAAGATGTCTTTTGAAAACAATGCAGCTGAAGAAATTTCCTCTTCTTTTAGTGCAATTTTACAAAAATTAAAATGAATAGCACAAACGACTCAACTCCAAATGCATTTTCATCTACTTACAGTGCTGTCGTTTGTGACACAAGGAACAAGAGTATGTCAGGGACTCAGAAGATCTGTCAGAACTGGGTACTAACCCACAGCTGTGGGCAGTGGCCCATCCACCAGTGGGCATTCAAATATCTGCCCTGAACTATACATAGTGAAAGGTCCAGAGACCTTCATGCCCTTTGGATGCAAGACACAGAGTACAGATTCAATCATGAACTGACTGTCATTTAGATGGAAGAGGTCTTCTCAAACCGGCTGGCCTTTCCCTCAGGAGAAGCTGAATTTCCTTAGATGTATTTTCTTGACACTTCAGTTTACAAAGACGCTTCACTTCATACTCCCTTTCGAGTTTGATAGCTGAAAAAGAAAATACACAAAACAATCTGACATACATTTTTCATCAGGCATAACTAAGTCAAAACTGAATATCATACAGCAAAATCCATATGCCTGAATAATAAACAAGATGACAGAGCTACAAAGATAGGAGGTATGGGTGTAAATACACAGATTTAAACATTTCTCTGATAAGCAAATGGCACACTGAATTTATAACTTATTAAAGCAGAACTTAAGGAACTTACATTCTGCAGAAGGGAGCAGTCCATCTTTAATGGTGGTACATTTTGTGAGCTGCACAGAACCACCAAATGAAATTTCTTCCAAGAAAGGCAACTTGATATTGGCTAGGTTTGTGGACCAGGTCTTTGCAAGCAATGCAATATCCCAAGGTTCCTGTCTGGGGCAAAAATTCATTAATCCATTCAATAAATATTGATTAAGCACCTACTATGTGAGATGTAGAAGACATTAATTCTCAGTTCCATTTGCCACTAGACATTTTGGTTTATGGGTGGAGGGGGAGATGTTCAGAATTTTCCAGAGTTGTAGTTCCAGACAGGAGAGGGAGATTTATATTAACTAATATAGAGATAATACTGAACAATGACCAGAAATTACACCAGGAACTTTGATTCAGCCTCCATGAAGTCAATCCATTCTTTCCATGTAAGAGGATGTAGATAAGAACTGTAAGCTCCAGAGTCTTTTATAGCTCATAAAAATGTGGTCATATTGAAGAAGGAAAGAAGGGCATAATCATACATTGAGCAGGGTGCTTGGCACAGACTAAGGTTTTGAGTGTGCAATCTGGGAATGGGGATGAAATTCCAAACTACAAATTCAAAATAACCACTATGAACCTTTAAAAATTGTTCTCTTTCACCTAATTCTGAAATTTGAAAATATCAGCTACATGTTTCTCATCTGCAGTCAATATGAGTTCAGCCTCATATGCATGAAGAAAGTGAAAGACCTGCTTTGGTCCAAGCAGGGGAAGTGACCATATTACACCAGCCACCCCTTTGTTTACCTGTTCCACCTTCCCCATCCTTTATCATCTAACTTTCAGGAGTGACTTAGAGTCTACAATTATTATAGATGTACCTGAACAAGTCATAAAAATGTATAAGAGTGTTCATTGAAGTGTTGAAGTGTCATTCGTTTAAACAAACAAACAAAAAAACATGGAGGCCGGGCATGGTGGCTCACGCCTGTAATCCCAACACTTTGGGAGGCTGAGGTGGGTGGATCATCTGAGGCCAGGAGCTCAAGACCAGCCTGGCCAACATGGTGAAATCCCGTCTCTACTAAAAATACAAAACTTAGCTGGGCATGGTGGCGGGCGCTTGTAATCCCAGCTACTTGAACCCGAGAGGTTCTGAACCCAGCTTGAACCCGAGAGGCGGAGGTTGCAGTGAGCTGAGATCATGCCACTGCACTTCAGCCTGGGTGAGAAGAGCAAAACTCCGTCTCAAAAAAAAAAAAAAAAATGGAAATAATCTTAATATCTATCAAGAAGAGCCTGATTAAACAAACTGTAGTACAAACATGTAATGAAAGAATAAGGATTGTGTCGATTTGGAAAGATAAGCAATAAAACAGTTATTGTTTACATAGCACCTACTACTAGGCACTGTTTTAAGCAATTTACACACATGAACTCATGTAATTACTGCAACAACCATATGAAAGAGGCAGGTGCTACTACTATCCTCAGTTTACAGATTAGAAAACTGAAGAGTAGGCTGGGCATGCTGGCTCATGCCTATAATCACAGCACTTTGGGAGGCAGAGGCAGAGGCAGAGGCAGGAGGATCGCTGGAGGCCAGAAGGCCAAGACCAGCCCAGGTGATGTGATGAGATCTCATCTCCACAAAAAAATCAAAAAATTAGCCGAATGTGGTGGCACAGGCCTGTGGTTCCAGCTACAAAAGAGGCTGCGGCAGGAGGATCACTTGAGCCCAGGAGGCTAAGGCTGAGACTGCACTGAGGTGATAGAGTGATACCCTGTCTTGATAAAAAATAAAGATCTCCAGCCGGGCATGGTGGCTCATGCCTGTAATTCCAGCACTTTGGGAGACCAAGGTGGATCACTTGAGGACAGGAGTTTGAGACTAGCCTGGGCAACAAAGTGAGACCCCATCTCTACCAAAAATAAAACAAACTCACCGGGCACAGTGGTGTGTGCCTGTGGTCCCAGCTACTCAGGAGGCTGAGATGGGAGGATCACTCAAGCCCAGGAGGTGCACAACATTCCAGCCTGCGTGACAGTGTGAGACCCTGTCAGGAAAGAAGGAAAGAAGGGAGGGAGGGAGGGAGGGAGGGAGGGAGGAAGGAAGGAAGGAAGGAAGGAAGGAAGGAAACTGAGGTGCAGAGAACAACTTGCCCAAGGTCACAAAGCCATTGGTTGTGAAGTTGGGATCTGAACCCAGGAAGTCAGACTCCAGAATTAGTGCTCTTACCTATTAGGCTATACAAGATATATTAGGAAGGGGTGGGCAGAGCAAAGTTCAATATGATTCCATGTGTTAAAAAGACATATGTGTGTGTATACATGTGTGTATGTGTCTTGTGTAGCAATGCACATACACAATGCAAATAAAATAATAATAATAATAATAATAATAATAATAATAATAATGACACTTACTATAATGGTACTTGCCCATAGTTCAAGGTCTAAATACGTACTAAACTGACAAAACTAAACAGAATGCAACAGTGAGTTTTCTCTGAATTTCTTATAGCTCTGGTTTTATAATCCCGTAGGGAATCCTCATTTACTTCACAGAATATTGTTTAAAAGACAAATTCAGCTGATGCCTAATCAAACGTTTAAGAAAGGAAAAGACTGCACTACAATACCACAGAGTAAAACTACTGTGTGGTTGCAACACGTGCTCACTATGCGTTCACTGGATGACAGGCAATGTGCAAGTACTTCACATACACGACTTCATTTATAATCCACACCGCATAGCCAATTGTTATATGCATCTTGCAGATGCAGAGATCAAGGTACGAAGAAGATGGCCTTAGGGAGCTGGGGGCAGGGCCAGGCTTGGAGCCCACGTCTTCTTGATTGGAAAGCATGTGTTGTCCATCCACTGCCTGCCAAAGTATACAGGATATAAAAGCGACCCTTTGTACCAGCTAATTAGGTGCTCTGTTAAGATACATCTGACACCAGGGCATTTTTTTGGTAGACGTGGAGTATCTAAACAAAGTTTTTTTAAAGTTGTGGGTGGAAGCAGAAAATGCTGTCTTGGAACAAAAAGACTCCGAGTCTAGCCTTTGCATTTCCTTACTACAGGACTGTGACTTTGATCAAACTTCTCTGAACCTCAGTTTTCTCACTTGAAAGTGTTGTGTTGTAAAGACCAAGTAAGATAATTAACTTATAAAAGCAGTTGCCAAAAAAAAAAAAAAAAAAAATCAGATCCCAGACACCTCAAAATACTTCACATAGCCCAGTATCTCATGGGGAGCACAGAGTGTCCAGTCCTTTTATTTAACAAAGACACTCCCCACCGCAGTCAATGCTTACCCTGATTTAAAAAAAAAAAATAGTACTTACACATTATAACAACTGCCCCGCAAAATGGTTTTCACTGTGTTCTTTCTTGGCACTCCATACGCCATGGTGAGTTATTACGGTATGATTTCGTTACATAGGTGCCTGATGGAATGTCACAGATAACTCTGTTCACTTTACCTGAAATGATGGCAACGCACCTAATTAATGCCTCTCACGTGAATATTTTGTAGCCAAATAATAGAAAAAAATTCTGAATGTCAGAAAGTCCTTAATAAGTGTTCATTGAACTGGAACCCCAAGTGTAAAACCGTGTTCTCTTTCATTTTTCCATGAACTCATTTTTTCATTTTTTGCCACCGAATAAGGAGAAAATGCCAGGTAAGTTTCGTCATCCTGAGACAAAGTTTCGGTGTCGCACTCTCTGCCCTTGCCTGAGCCTGCCAAACCAGCTCCAACACCGCTGCGCCAAAATGTGTCTGATCGTGGCAGTGCTGAGCGACCAAAGGCTCTGCCTGCACAGGAACCACCCGCCCCGGCCCGGGCACTTTGAGCAGAGCAATCCTTCCCAGGTTTTCCCTCATTCAAAACACTCAGCACCACTCCCGCGTCCCCGCCCTTGCACGCCGATTCGGGGCGAGTCCCCTACCCTTCCCCGGACGGACGCGCAGGGCCCGGGAGGAACTGGTTCCCGGGACGGGTGGGGGCCTCGGCCGCCCACAGAGCCCGCGGAGAAGGGAACGGCCTCAGCCTCGGCTCCTTCCCACACCTGGGCCCCACCCTGCCTCCGACTCGCCAGGAATGCGCTGTGTGCGCGGGGCTTCCAGGGTGGCGGGTCCCCGCGAGCCGGCGCCGGCGGCCTGGTTACCCGGGCTCCAGGGGCTCGGAGGGTCGCGGCCGGGGTACTGAGGTAAGAGCGCGCTGCGCTAAGCGCACATGGCCGCGCACACGCCTCGGGGCCGCGCCGCAGGCACACGCCTCCTTCCCGCTCGCCGCGGGCGCCGAGTCTGGGGCTCCTCGCGTCACACGGGAGCCTCAACAAAGGGCTTTGTGGGGCCCTCCCCACCCGCCAGGGAGGGGACGCCGGGCCCGGGAGACGCGCCCCGCGGGGTCCGCTCTCTGGTAACCGGGCCGGGGCAGGCCGCGCTCTCGGAATCCAGCCAACCAGCCAGAGAGGGCTGTAAGCCAGACCTTTCCTGGGAAGGACGCTTTCCAATGTAGGGGGCTGCATCCAAGCGATCTGGACTTCGTTTGCGGGCGCCATTTAAAGAAATGTACCCAGTCCTGGCTGCTGACATCTGGGGAACCGAAGCCCTGTTGCCAGCGTTCTCACACTGCAGTGGGTGAAGGCAGTGAGCTCAAAGCCCACGTGTGATATTTTAGGTGTTCGTGTTCAGAGCAAGACAGCATCAATTTCTAAAGCCGTTATTACGCTGTGGTGATTTCGTATTTCTTCATTTGAATACATCAGATGGCCACCCCTTACGGTCAAATGAAACGAGCTTACATTTCCATTTTGAGTGAGGGTTTTGATGTCAGAACTGGTTTGGAATTCTAGCTCTGCCACTTAAGATTTAACCTTAAGATTTCGCATGTCACTGCTCTAAGCATCAATTTCTTCATCTATAAAACAAGGATAATGCTCTATGTCTTAGAGGGTTGTTCTGAGGATGAAAGATCCTGCCCTGAGATTCTCCGCCACGTGATAAATGCCTAATTGATTGTGAGCCTAAAAACAACTTTATGAAATAGGTAAGAGCGATACTACTCATTTCAATTGTGGAGCCGACGAATGAGTTCAGGGTGGTTAAAGGGCTGCCCAGAGTCACATGGCAAGTTCCAAAGCCAACTTTTAAAGATAAACACAGATGGGCCAGGCACGGTGGATGGGCCGGGCGCGTGTCTCACGCCTGTAATCCCAGCAATTTGGGAGGCCGAGAGGGGCAGATCACGAGGTCAAGGGGTTCGAGACCAGCCTGGCCAACCGACATGGTGAAACCCTGTCTCTACTAAAATGCAAAAATTAGCTGGGCGAGGTGGCGCGCGCCTGTCGTCCCAGCTATTCAGGAGGCTCAGACAGGAGAATTGCTTGAACCCGGGAGGCAGAGGTTGCAGTGAGCCGAGATGGCGCCACTGCATTCCAGCCTGGGCAACAGAGACTCCATCTCAAAAAAAAAAAAAAGATAAAACACAGTAACCTTTCCATCTGACAAGCAACTTCTGATCCTTCTGATTAGAGTAGGCTCGCAGGGCTGACCCATCTTTCAAAGGTGCTTTTGTGCCTCCCAGAAACTGGAAGGTGAGGACTGTCACTCGCTCTTCAGCATTTCTGCTCTACCACCAATGAAAAGTGAGCACCGAGGAGTGACAGTGGGTGTTTTCTTTCCACAAAGAATGTTGAAACCCTCAATGGACTGTGAGACCAGTGTACTACAGATTTTGGCCTGAATTTTTATTTATTTATTTATTTATTTATTTATTTATTTATTTATTTATTTATTGAGATGGAGTCTCGCTCTGTCGCCCAGGCTGGAGTGCAGTGGCGCCATCTCAGCTCACTGCAAGCTCTGCCTCCCGGGTTCACGCCATTCTCCTGCCTCAGCCTCTCGAGTAGCTGGGACTACAGGCGCCCGCCACCACGCCCAGCTGATTTTTTTGTATTTTTAGTAGAGACGGGGTTTCACCGTGTTAGCCAGGATGGTCTAGAGCTCCTGACCTCGTGATCCGCCCACCTCGGCCTCCCAAAGTGCTGGGATTATAGGCGTGAGCCACCGCGCCCGGTCTTTGGCCGGAATTTTTAAAAATGAGTTAGCATAGAATGGCGAATAAAATTAGAGTACATCACACAGATAAGTGTAAGAAGGTATTATTTTGTGGCACTTTCATTTCTGTTATATACATATATATATACACATATACACATACGTGTGTGTGTGCTCAGGCTCAATGTACAGCCCTTAACAATGGGTCTAAAAAATTTGAAAGGCACTTTCTTAGGTGATTTTATTTTAGAGATGAAAAAACAGAGACAGAGAAGTTATTTGAGGTTATATCCAGATAGGGGACAAGCCACCTTAGAAGGGAAGTTCCTCATGGTTCCATGGTAAGTTCTCTTTTTATAGTTGTAGAAATAGGTCTAGGGCCACACCAGAAGAGGTCAAGCCTGTGATTTCTTTATACAGGAACTCCATTTCCAGCATATGCATAAAATTCCTGACAATTGTATTTAGTTATTTCCTGTGTGACTCACTGTGAACAAATATGGTGGACATTACTGTGTATGACTTCTGAGATAAGGTCATAAAAGGTATTGTGGCTTCCTTCTTGCAGTCTCTCTTGGGTCACTCACCCTAGGAGAGACTGGCTGCCATTTGAAAGGACACTCAAGCTGCCTTATGGAGAAATTCATAAGGAATTGAGGGCTTTTGCCACCAACTATGTGATTAAGCCATCTTGGAAGCAGATGCTTCAAGGCCCAGTCAAGCCTTCAGATAACTTTAGCCCCAGCTGAGGTCTTGACTTAAACTTCGTGAGAAATTCTGAGCCAGAACCACCCAGCTAAGTCACCCTAGGATTCCTGGCTCTCAGAAAATATAGGATAATAACTGTTCATCATAGTTGGGCACGGTGGCTCATGCCTGTAATCTCAACACTACGGCAGGCTGAGACAGGAGGATCACTTGAGCCTGGGAGTTCAAGACCAGCCTGGGCACCATAGTGAGACCCCATCTTTACAGAAAGTAGAAAAAAAACTTAGCTGGATGTGGTGGCACACACCTGTAGCCCCAACTACTCCAGAGGCTGAGGCAGGAGGATCCCTTGAGCCCAGGAGGTTGAGGCTGCTGTGAGCCATGATCACGACTGCACTCCAGCCTGAGTGGCAGAATGAGACCCTGTCTCAATTAAAAAAAAAAATCATTATTTCCTCATTTTAAGCTACCAACTTTTGGGATAATGGTTACACAACAATAGATAGCATTAGACAGCAATAGATACCACTAAATATCTTATTGTAGAAGGAATGTTTTATATAGAGGAAAATGCTCATCTTTTTATAATTAAGATTAATACTAAAATTAAAATGAACAGTAAAACACATTACACTTTACAGACATTTGCCATCCAGGACGACTTAAGATCCTTAACATTGTCAACACAAAAAAATACATGGCCTCTGCCACTTCCCCACATGTATTTTAAAATAATACAATTTTCTAGAAGGTGGATGTCCAAAAGAGATCTGGTTTTTCTCACAATGACTATTTCAGTATATCCTTTTGAAATATCAAATTCTTTCTACAATTTCTTCCCCTCTCTCTCCCTCTTTCCCTCTATTTCTATCTCTATCTCTATTGATGTCTCTATACCTATCTCTATTGCTATCTCTATTCATCTTTTTCCCCCCTGCTTTGCTGGCGTCCTACACACATCTTTCTATTAGGTAAGGCTTCACCCATCTCTTCTATGCCAGAAAGTAAGCAAGTATCCTTTTAATTGGTTAAGAGAGCATTGCTGCCACCTAGTGTTAACACTAAAGCACAAGAAGGAATGCAAAAGATCAACACCTAACACAGAAACAATAATAGTGTGGTAACTTTACAGTCATTTACTATGTTTTGAGTACTGGTGAATGTATTTCATATACATTGTCTCAATTATCACACAATAAATGCTACTATTAATTTAGTGGTGGGATTTTAGGAATATTAGAGAAGAAAAAATGGAGGCACCTCAACCACGAATAACTTTTCTAAGGTTACAGGATTTGAACCCAGACTGCCTTATTCTAATTTTTGTGCCGTCCTCATCACACTGCACTACATATTCTCCCAGGACTATAATTAGGGCAAGGTTTTAGATTACACATTTGAAAACAGTTACGCAACTACCCTTTTCAAATATAATTTCTCATGACATACATGTATATATGTATGTGTATCGTCATTCTCATTTCAAAAAGTGACATTTTCTTTCTTTTAACTTAATGTGTAAATCACAAATGCAGCTTACAGTTTTCTAATGACTATTATAAAACTCTCTAGTAATGACACCAATTCTAGGATAACGACAAAACAACACATCTGCAAAAACTTTAAAATCACCAAATAACGGCCCTAAATATTCTCCACCCTTCTGTACTAGTTTCTAATTGTCTCACCTGTCTGGCCACTCCTTTGCTTATTTCTCTCATTCTTCTCGCCCTTAAATTTATGTCTTCCCGTAGTCCATTTGTTCTGCCTCAGTACTCTCAGTGGCTCTGTTCTCACTAATGTAACTATCATTTCTCCTTGGATGGGTCCCAAATCTGATTCTCTAGCCAGCCTTGGCTTCTCTCCTAGATGCGTATCCGTTTGTGGGAACTTCCTACTGGACTATCTTGTTCAGAAGAAAATTTCAACATAACCAAAATGTAATTCATCTCCTACTCCCTAAATCATCTCCTCTGTCTATCTTTTCTATTTCTGGGAATGGCCCATGAGTCTCCTATGAGCCAGGCTTAGAGGACTGGAGTCATTTTTAAAGTATATTGCTGGCCACCTACTCCATGCTAGCCATCATTCTTAGCCACTTTACATGGCATCTGACCCTCACAGATTAAGGGGGAAGAAACTAATACTTTCCCTAGTACAGTTAAGGGGGAAAAATGTTTAAAGGGCTCTAAAATGGCCAGACACAGCGGCTCATTCCTGTAATCCCAGCACTTTGGGGGGTCAAGGTGGGTGGATTGCTTGAGTTCAGGAGTTCAAGACCAGCCTGAGCAACATGGCAAAACCCCATCTCTACAAAATATACAAAAATTAGCAGGGTGTGGTGGCACGTACCTGTAGTTCCAGCTACTCAGAAGGCTGAGGTGGGAGGATTGCTTGAGCCTGGGAGGTGGAGGTTGCAGTGAGCTGAGATCGTACCACTGCACTCCAGCCTGGGTGAATGAGTGAGACTCTGTCTCAAAAAAGAAAAAAAACATACATACATAAAGGGCTATAAAAGTGACTTGTTTATGATTACACAACTAGTAAGTTGTAGAGCCAGATTTGAACCCAGGTCAGTTTTACTCCTGAGCTACCTCCTTTAAGTTCTCTGGATTCTCTCACCCAGCCACAGTTCCTGTATCCACAAAACTCCCATTGTATCCTTACAAAAACATTCATCCACTCACCCATTTTGGTTGCTCTAGAGTGGGTTTCTATACCTTAGACACATTATTGCATGACCAAAACAGACAATAATGGCTGCAGCTAGTGGTAGACTTCTCTACTCTTCTTAGAGGCAGAAGTCACAATCTCCAGGTGCCCTGTTCCTTGGGAGACAAAGCAGGTCAGAATCCATTCTCCTGTTCCAAGATATAGCATGTGATTTACAGCCTAGGATCCTCTGCAGAGCTGGAGTAGTGGGAATCCCTGGCTGGTTCTCAGGCTGGCACCACCAAACCTGCATCTGCCACGGAGCAGCTTATACCAGGAAAGCTCAGCCCCTGACAACTACATTTGAATTCCTCCCTCAGGCAAGCACAAAGCATTAGTTCTAAGTATAGGAAAAAAAAGTATTTCCTTACATATCTTAATACATGAGACCTTTAGGCTGTTACAACGTCACCCTATAAAGTACTAATTAAAGCAAAGGATTTACCTGCTTCAGTTCAATTGAAGTTTCAATTTCATGCTGACTTATAATGTTGCTTTAAAAGTATATCACAGAGGCCAGCCAAAGTGGCTCACGCCTGTAATCCCAGCACATTAGGAAGCCAAGGTGGGTAGATCACTTGAGGCCAGGGGATCAAGACCAGCCTGGCCAACATGGTGAAACCCCGTCTCTACTAAAAATACAAAAATTAGCCAGGTGTGATGGCACGTGCCTGTAGTCCCAGCTACTTGGGAAGCTGAGACACAAGAATCGCTTGAGCCCAGGAGGCAGAGGTTGCAGTGAGCCGAGATCATGCCACTGGCCCCCAGTCTGGGTGACAGAGCAAGTATCTGTCTCTAAATAAATAAAAATATATCATTGGGCCAGGTGCTGGGGCTCACACCTGTAATCCCAGCACTTTGGGAGGCCAACGTGGGCAGATGGCTTGAGCCCAGGAGTTCGAGACCAGGCTGGGCAACATGGTAAAACCCTTCTCTATTTTTTTAAATAAATAATTAAAAGAATAAAAAGAGTATATCATTAGTTTGAAACTAGGAGAAATTAGAAAACTGAGATAAGATCTCTAATTATAAATATTATTTTTGAGTCACATTTTATTGGCTTTTAAAATATATTATAAATGGAACACCTATAATCCCCACTACTCAGCAGACTGAGGCGAGAGAATTGTTTGAGCCCAGGAGTTCCAGGAGGTGGTGCTCTATGATCGCACCTGTGAACAGCCACTGCCCTTCAGCCTGGGCAACATAGCAAGTCCCTGTCTCTAAAAGTAAAAATAAAAATTTAAAATCCCATTCAACTGAACTCTTCCTGAGGAAATGGAGGCCAGAACAAGAGGCCGAGTGCTCTGATAGAAAGTCTAATCACGAAATTCAAGAAATCTGAACCTGCCAGGCACAGTGGCTCATACCTGTAATCCCAGCACTTTGGGAGACTGAGGTGGGAGGATCACTTGAGCCCAGGAGGTCAAGGCTGCAGTGAGCCACGATTGTGCCACTGTACCTGGTCAACAGACTGAGAGTGAGACCCTGTCTCAAAAATAAATACAGAACTTCTCTCGCTGAAGCACTGACCTCCTAATGATAAATCTGTCTGAGGATTTTACTCAATTTTTTTTTGTCTGCTCGCTCCTCTAAAACAAATTATTAATTCTTTCTCAGCTTCTTAGTTTCAAAGTACCAACAATAAGTCAAAGGACACCCCTGCAGTTCATTAGTAGACATTGCAATCTCTGTGCTTTTAATTATATATTGCACATTTGAGAAATGAAAAAAGAGATAAAATAATGCCAGAAATCCCCACAGAACCAAGAGTTGTAGAAAGAAAGACAAAATAAATAAAATAATAACATTTAAAAATTAAAATAATGCCAGAACAAGCTTACGTCTATCCCAATGTTAAGGAAAGTCTCTAAAATGTATTTAAGTAGTCTTATAGAGTCTACTCAGTTTCTAAATCTGGTATTCCATTCTAAATTTCAGGCAGTGCCAGGCACAGTGGCTCACTCCTGTGATCCCAGCACTTTCAAGAGGCAGTGGTGGACAGATTGCTGAAGTCCAGGAGTTTGAGACCTGCCTGGGAAATATGAGACCTTGTCTCTACAGAAAATCTAAAAATATATACATATTAGCCAAACATGGTGGTGCCTGCCTGTAGTCCCAGCTACTCAGGAGGCTGAGGTGGGAAGATCACTTGAGCCTGAGAGACAGAAGTTGCTGTGAGCCAAGATAGTGCCTCTGCAGTCCAGCATGGGAAATAGAGCGAGCCCCTGTCTCAAATAAATAAAATTTCATGAAACTGGACATGTTCAGAATAATACTTCAAATTCCAGAAAATGCTTTACATTTTGCAAAGTGTGAGTCTTTAAAAGAAGACTTGAAACCCCACAAGCAGAGTGTGACAATTAATGACTTTGTAGTAAGTTTCATTAAAAACTAGTACTGGTCTTACAACTCTAGCCAAAATGTAGGTGTGATAGGCAGCTTTTTTTTTTTTTCTGAGACTGAGTCTCACTCTGCCGCCCAGGCTGGAGTGCAGTGGCACAATTTCAGCTCACTGCAACCTCCGCCTCCTGGGTTCAAGCAACTCTCCTCCCTCAGCCTCCCGTGTAGCTGGGACTACAGGCGCCTGCCACACCTGGCTAATTTTTGTATTTTTAGTAGAGACAGGGTTTCACCATGTTGGCCAGGCTGGTCTTGAACTCCTGACCTCAAATGATCCACCCACCTCAGCCTCCCAAATTGCTGGGATTACAGGAGTGAGCCACCGCACCTGGCAGTAGGCAGAATTCTAAGATGGTTCCTGTTACTGGGAGATTTGTATCCCTGGTCCCCAAAATTAATGTGTTGAGATCCTAAACCCCAGTATCTCAGACTGTGACTTTATTTGAAGATAGGGCCTTTCAAAGAGGTAATTAGGGTAAAATAAGGTCACAGGGGTGGGTCCTAATCCAATATGACTGGTGTTCTTATAAAACAAGATTAGGACACAGAAATGCAAGAGCAAAGACCATGTGCATTACAAAAAGGCCAGACCCCTCTTTCTCTGGCCAGGTTGGTTAAGACACACACTCTTGCCCTGACCTTGGCTCCCTCCATGGTTTTGGAATCTAAAGCTGGTGAGTCGAAGAAGCAGGGAGAGTAGAGAAGCTGCCCGCCCATGATGCCTGAAATCAGGCTGGACTTCAACACCAGGATAAAGGCATGCCATAGCTAACAGCACAGTGAGGGAGTCAGATGCATGGGCCCTGCTACCAAACTGCCTGGGTTTGGATCCCTGCACCACCTCTGACAAGCTATGTATCTGATGCTAGATATCCTAGCAACAGACAGGTAAATCTTGGACATTACAATTTTCCTCAACACAGCAGAGTGAGCTGTTCAAATTGTAAGCCAGATCATGTCTGTCTGCTCAAATCCTGCAGTGGTTCCTTTTTTTTTTTTTTTTTGACATGGAATCTTGCCCTGTCACCCAGGCTGGAGTGCAGCAGTGCAATCTCGGCTCACCACAACCTCTGTCTCCTGGGTTCAAGTGATTCTCGCGCTTCAGCCTCCCAAGTAGCTGGGGTTACAGGCACATGCCACCACACCCGGCTAATTTTTGTATTTTTAGTACAGATGGGGTTTCACCATGTTGGCCAGGCTGGTCTCGAACTGACTTCAAGTGAGCCACCTGCCTCGGCCTCCCAAAGTGCTGGGAATACAGGCATAAGCCACTGAGCCCGGCCAATGGTTCTCTTTTCATTCAGAGAAAACAACCGAAGTCCTCACAGTGACCCACAGATCATATCTGATCTCTTCTCTCTGTCTCTCTCACTCACACTCACACACACAGCTTTTATTTATTTTTATTTATTTATTTTTTATTTTTTGAGACGGAGTCTCTATCTGTCGCCCAGGCTGGAGTCCAGTGGCGCGATCTCGGCTCACTGCAAGCTCCACCTCTCAGGTTCACACTGTTTTCCTGCCTCAGCCTCCCAAGTAGCTGGGACTACAGGCACCCGCCACCGCACCCGGCTAATTTTTTTTTTGTATTTTTAGTAGAGATGGGGTTTCACCATGTTAGCCAGGATGGTCTCGATTTCCTGACCTCGTGATCTGCCCGCCTCGGCCTCCCAAAGTGCTGGGATTACAGGCGTGAGCAACCGCGCCCGGCCACACACAGCTTTTATAACCTCCACTCATACCAATCTTCATTTGCTTGCTCTGCTTTTCCCTCCATGACCTTCGTGCTCTTTCTTAAGCCTGCCCAGCATACTCCCACCTGCTATGGGTTGAATTGTGTCCCCTAAAAAGATATGTTGAAGTCCTAACTCCCTATACATGCTATACATGTGAATGTGACCTTGTTTAAAAATAGGGTCTTTGCAAATGACCATCTAATCAGGCCAACTTTGCAGGTGACCTCATCTAATCAGGTTTAGAATAGGCCCTAAATCTAATCTCTAGTGTACTTATGACACATATAGATACACAGAAAGAACACCATGTGACCATAGAGGCGAGCCTGGAGCAATGTGTCCACAAGCCAAGGAATGCTAGGGGTTGCTCACAAGGATCAGAAGGTAAAAGAAATAAGGAATTACTCCAGGTGTGGTGGCTCATGCCTGTAATCTCAGCACTTTGGGAGGCCAAAGCGAAAGGATTGTTTGAGCTCAGGAATTCAAGACCAGCCTGGGCAACGTAGTGAAACCCCATCTCTTTTACAAAAAAATTAAAAATTAGCTGGGCATGGTGGTATGCACCTGTTCCCAGCTACTCAGAAGGCTGAGGCAGGGGGATCTCTTGAGCCCAGAAGATCAAGGCTGCAGTGAGCTATGATCGTGCCACTGCAACTCCAACCTGGGCAACAGAATGAGACTCTCAAAAAAAAAAAAAAAAAAAAAAAAGAAAGAAAGAAAGAAAAAAAAGGGAATGAACAGACTCTCTTCAGAGCCTCCAAAAAAGCACCAATACTGCTGACACCTTGATTTCAGACTTATAGCCTCCAGGACTGGGAGAGAACAAATTTCCATTGTGAATCCCCCAGCGTGGTACCTTGGGAAACTAATACACCACCACCTGCCTTTACCTTAGCTGTTCCTACTACCTGCAACATCCATCTTCCAAACATCCAGATAACTTGCCCACCTCCGTCAAGGCTTTGCCAAGTACCCTTTTCAAAACTGCTGCTTCTGACACCTGTGCTGACAACCCCCTTACCCTGCTCTAATCTATTTCAGCACTTATCACCTTCTAACATCCTATAGTTTATTATGTTTATTGTTTTGATCATCATCTATTGTTAGAATTTGAGCTCCGTAATCATATGGAATCTTTATTTCTTTCACTGAGGACCCTGTATGCCAAACAGTGTAATAAAAAAAAATAAAGAACAGTGAATATCATGAAAGACAAGACAGTGGTTACCTTTGAAGGGAGAGAGGGGGCTGTGATTTGGAAGGTACATGGTGGCTTCTGACTTGCAGGCAGTGTTCTATTTCTTAACCTGGTTAGCAGCTTTAGAGATAATTGCCTTCTCATTATTTGTTAAACTGTACATTTATGTTTATGCATCTTTCCTTGTGTGCTATTTTCACAAGAAAAGGAAGCCTCAAGAATTTTCACATTTCTTCCATGAGGAAAGGGAGATTTATTGCTTTAAAATATTGTTTATAAAAATGTTGTAAGTGGCCAGGCCCGGTGGCTTGGCTCACGCCTGTAATCCTAGCACTTTGGGAGGCCGAGGCCGGTGGATCACGAGGTCAAGAGATCGAGACCATCCTGGACAACATGATGAAACCCCCTATCTACTAAAAAATATAAAAATTAGCTGGGTGTGGTGGTGCACACCTGTAGACCCAGTGTCCCCGTAATCAGTCGGTTCTTGGTCTCGCTGAATGAAGCCACAGACCCTTATGGTGAATGTCACAGCTCTTAAAAGCAGCGCATCTGGAATTGTTCATTCCTTCCAGTAGGTTCGTGGTCTCGCTGGCTTCAGGAGTGAAGCTGCAGACCTTCATGGTGAGTGTTACAGCTCCTAAAGGTGGCGCAGGCCCAAAGAGAAAGCAGCAACAACATTTATTCCAAAGATCAAAAGAACAAAGCTCCCATACCATCGAAGACAACCCAAGCAAGTTGCCGCTGCTTGCTCTGGTGGCCTGCCTTTATTCCCTTATCTGACCCTACCCACATCCTGCTGATTGGTCCATTTTACAGAGAGCTGATTGGCCCATTTTACAGAGAGCTGATGGGTCCGTTTTGACAGGGTGCTGATTGGTGCGTTTATAAACCTTGAGCTAGACAGAGTGGTGATTGGTGCATTTACAATTACTTAGCTAGACACAAAATTTCTCCAAGTCCCCACTGACTAGCTAGACACAGAGCGCTGATTGGTGCGTTTACAAACCTTTAGCTAGACACAGAGCGCTGATTGGTGCGTTCACAAACCTCTAGCTAGACACAGAGTGCTGACTGGTGCATTTACAATCCTTTAGCTAGGCTGAAAAGTTCTCCAAGTCCCCACCCATCCCAGAAGCCCAGCCAGCTTCACCTCTCACTGGCACGCTGGCACTCGCCGGGACTTTGCGTCACCCAGCCTGGGCACTCCGGTAGCCCAGAAGGAGCTCATCCCGAGATCAAGCCCAGCAGGAACCGGCCGCCGCGCCCAGTGCGGGGCCAGCCGAGCCTGCGCCCACCCGGAACCCGCGCCGGCTAGCGAGCGCCTTGCGCAGCCCTGGCTCCGCCCGCGCGTTTCTCTTCACACTTCCCCGCGAGCACAGGGAGCCGGCTCCGGCCTCGGCCAGCCCCAGAGAGGGGCCCTCATAGCGCAGCGGCGGGCTGAAGGGCTCCTCGAGTGCGACCAGAGCGGACGCCAAGGCCGAGGAGGCGCGGAGAGTGAGCGAGGGCTGGTAACACGTTGTCACCTCTCACCAGCAACTCAGGAGGCTGAGGCAGGGTAATCGCTTGAACCTCGGAGGGGGAGGTTGCAGTGAGCCAAGATCGCGCCACTGCACTCCAGCCTGGCGACAGAGCAAGACTCTGTCTCAAAAAAAAAAAAAAAAAAAAAAAAAGTTGTAAGCTGGCAGCAGTGGTGTACACCTGTAGTCCCGCCTACTCAAAAGGCTGAGGCAGGAGAATTGATTGAGCCCCGGAGTTCAAGGTCAGCCTGGGCCGCATAAAAAGGCCGCATCTCTAAATAATAATAATAATAATTGTAAGTTCAATGATTACAGATTCGAAAAGTACACTTGGAGTTCATAATTCTCCAAAAGAGAAGCTACAAAGCAGCAACATGCCACACGTAGCTGCTGTTAAGGACTGAATTGTGCCCCCTCAAAATTCATTCGTTGAAGCCCTAACCCCTAATGTAATTATATTTGAAGATAAGGCCTTTAAGGAGGTAATTAAGACTAAATGAGGGGCGGTTGCGGTAACTCACGCCTGTAATCCCAACATTTTGAGAGGCTGAGGTGGGCGGATGGCTTGAGCCCAGGAGTTCGAGACCAGTCTAGGCAACATAATGAGACCCCGTCTCTACTAAAATATTTTAAAATTAGGCTGGGCACAGTGGCTCATGCCTGCAATCCCAGCACTTTGGGAAGCCGAGGCAGGCGGATCATTTGAGGTCAGGAGTTTGAGACCAGCCTGGTCAACATGGTGAAATTCTGTCTCTACTAAAAATACAAAAAAAAAAAAAAGGTAGCTAGGCATGGTGGCACATGCCTGTCGTCCTTGCTACTCAGGAAGCTGAGGCAGGAGAATCACTTGAACCCGGGAAGTGGAAGTTGCAGTGAGCCGAGATCACACCACTGCACTCCAGCCTGGGCAACAGAGACTCCATCTCGAAATAAATAAATAAATAAATAAAATAGCCAGATGTGGCAGTTGCGTGCCTGTAGTCCCAGGTACTTGGGAGGCTGAGGTGGGAGGATTGCTTGAGCCCCAGAGATTAAGGCTGCAGAGAGCTATGATGGCACCATTGCACTCTAGCTTGGGTGACAGAGCAAGATCCTGTCTCAAGGAAGAAAAGAAACCTTGCATCTGGTATGAAATGTTAGACAGAGTTTTGGGGTAGAGTTGGGAAGACAAGTGGTGATCTGAGGTTGGCCCCAGAAAAACCACAGTCCCCATTATCCAGGAAGATGGTTCTGAACACCACTTAGGCTTCTGAGGTCCTTTTTTTTTTTTTTTCTTTTTTTTTGAGACATAGTCTCGCTCTGTTGCCCAGGCTGGAGTGCAATGGCACAATCTTGGCTCACTGCAACCTCTGTCTCCAAGGTTCAAGCAATTCTGCCTCAGCCTCCCGAGTACCTGGGATTACAGGCACCCACCATCACGCCCAGCTGACTTTTCTATTTGTATTTTTAGTAGAGACAGGGTTTCACCATATTGGCCAGACTAGTCTTGAACTCCTGACCTCAAGTTATCCACCTACCTTGGCTTCCCAAAGTGCTGGGATTACCCACGTGAGCCACCGCTCCTGGCCCTGAGGTTCTGATTCCTGTTTGATGAACCTGAAGATGATTAGTCAGCAAACCGGGGCTAGGTGGGATGGGCCCATCAGTAATCCTGACTACCTCAGAGGGCATAAGGGCCACTGACCTTCAGAACTCAGCCATTTCCCGGGATATGCTCAGATCCGCAATAAACTGGGAACAAATTCTAATGATTAGGAAGGATTTTAAAATCAATGTTTATTAAAGAGGAGGGCCCTGCATGTTTCTATTTCTCTCTACAGAGAGCTTTTATGGCCTTTAATGTAGAGTAGATTGAACAATACTTCTCAGAGGAAGCTCTCTGGAATCCATAAGAATTAAGTGGGGAATGACGTTAAAATGCATATTACCAGGCTCTGACCTCAAATATTCGGATTCAGATAGTATGGGCCAGGGATCAAGAATCAGCTTTTTAGGCCAGGCATGGTGGCTTAGGCCTGTAATCTCAGCATTTTGGGAGGCCAAGGCAGGCAGATTGCTTGAGGCCCGGAGTTCGAGACCAGCCTGGGCAACATGGCAAAACCTAATCTCTACCAAAAACACAAAAATTAGCTGGGTGTGGTGGTGCATGTCTGTAATCCCAGCTTCTTGGGAGGCTGAGGCATGAGAATTGCTTGAACTGGGGAGGAGGTGAAGGTTGCAGGGAGTTGAGATCGCATCGCTACACTCCAGCCTGGGCAACACAGCAAGACGGTCTCAAAAAAAAAAAAAAAAAAAAAAAAGAATTGGCTGGGCACGGTGCCTCACACCTGTAATCCCAGCACTTTGGGAGGCCAAGGCAGGCAGATCACTTGAGGTCAGGAATTTGAGGCCAGCCTGGCCAACATGGCAAAACCCCATCTCTACTAAAAATACAAAAATTAGCCAGGCATGGTAGTGCACACCTGTAATCCCAACTACTAGGGAGGCTGAGGCAGGAGAATTGCTTGAACCCAGGGGGCGGAGGTTGCAGTGAGCCAAGATTGCACCACTGCACTCCTGCCTTGGTGACAGAGCAAGACTCCATCTCAAAAATAAATAAATAAATATTAAAATAAAAATTTAAAAAAAGAATCAGCTTTTTACAAGTAAGTGTTTAAGGTGATTCTCTGTCAGATGTTTTTAGACATTTCTCCAAGAGTGGCCCAGAGACCACTGGTGTGAGATGATCACTTAGAGTCTTGTGAAAAATACAAATTTCCTAGACATCCTGAATTTTAGTAGGGAAAAGGGCGATAGGGAGTGGAGCCCAGGATTCTGCATTTTAAAGAGGCTTCCCAGTTAAAAGTTTACTGGCAAATGTTAAGAACCACCTGCCTAGGGAATAATAAAATGTTCTCTTGGAGAGGAGGGAGGGGATCAGGAAAAATATTATAACTAGATATAATGGATACTAGGCTTAATAGCAGGGTGATGAAATAATCTGTGTACCAAACCCCCATGACACATGTAACAAACCTTCACATCCTACACATGAACCCCTGAACTTAAAATAGAAGTTGAAAAAAATGTTGTCTTGAATGGGCCATGACCTGGAAGATCTGTTTCTGCTAAATCTCATTAAGCTACTTTGGGGGTATTTTCATGAGGAAACACAACACAAAGACTCAAGGGAGGAATGAAAAAGAGACAGGGCACTGTTTAAGGACAGGAGTTTGGTAATAACCAAGAATGGTATCACATCAGGCCAGGTGTGGTGCCTCACACCTGTAATCCTAGCACTTTGGGAGGCCAAGGCGGGTGGATCACTTGAGGCCAGGAGTTCGAGACCAACATGACAAAACCCCATCTATCCTAAAAATACAAAAAATTAGCCAGGCATGGTAGCGCACGCCTGTAATCCCAGCTGCTCAGGAGGCTGAGGCAGGAGAATTGCTTGACCCGAGGAGCAGAGGTTGCAGTGAGCCGAGATCATGCCACTGCACTCCAGCCTGGGTGACTGTGCCTCAGAAAAAAAAAAAAAAGAGAAAAAAAGAAATGGTGTCACATCAAATAATTTGTATAAAGTTTCTCCAGTGGGAGGGCCACAACACATTTGCTCCCTACTCATCCTTGCTTTGCCTGCAGAGAGCACAATTTTTCTTACACATAGATGCTCAATAAGTATCTGTTGAATTGTTTTGAATGTATTCCCCTTTGGAGAACTATACTTTCAACATACACACACACACACACACACACACACACACACACACACACACACACACACGTTGCTGGTGTTTGGATGAGCATATATGTGTGTTTATGGGTAGGGGCAGAAGAAGTGATGATGAAAGAAAGTGGGTTTGATAAAGGGAGGGAGATAAAATTGAGTGAACTGCTGAGTAGATTTGAGTTATACTTAAGGAAAACGTAACTACAAGTTCTATTTTGGTTTACTTCCTCTCTTGCCCTGGGATCTTAAGCAAGCAAGCTACTTTCGTTTCTCTATTTCAACAGTGTCTTTTTTTTTTTTTTGGAATGTGCCTTGTGGAATTATTTTTAAAAGTAAGTAATATGAGATTGGAAAGCACCTTTTCCTCTTAGCCAAAAGTGTGCAGAAGAGAATTTCCACCATCTGGGCCACTTCAATAAGAGAAGTACACTTACACTCTCTCTCTCTCTCTCTCCCCCTCCCTCCCCCTCCTCAACCTTACTCTCTCTCTCTCCCTCCCTCCCTCCTGAAGATCATTTATTTAGTAAATGTTTATTGAGAATTAATTATATGCTAGAAGCTGTGATAACTTCTGGGATAGCAAACAAGACATGACTACTACCCACTATTGTTGTAGAATCTGGAGAATTCAGGGTCTGAATTCTCAGACGTCGGAAGATCAAAGAAAAGTCACTAACCAGCCCTCCTGGCACAGGTGGGCAAGTTCCAGTGTGAGAAGCCAGGCTTCCAGCTGTCCAAGTGGAAACTCAGCGGGATCCCTCTTAGTGATCAGGGCTTGTACTTGGGAGGAAGTGCTTGTACTTGGTGTGGAGCAGACAGCAAGGACATATGGAACTCACCCCCACCTTTACCTGTCTCTCAATGTGGTGGGGAGTGGGACAAGTTGGGATATGCCAATCTCTCTGTGTCCTTCTCCCATAGAATGGCTGCTGGTTCACATCTATCTCCCATGACCCATATCTCATGCAGGCTCCTCTTTTTCTAACTTTTAACACAAATTATTCAGGGAAGGGGATTCTGGGAACTATAGTTCCAACTTAGCCAAGCTAACACCATTACATATGAGGAGCTGGGTCAAGAAGTGATGAAAGAGAATTCTCAAGACACCAACACTTGGCTGAAGGTGTCAAAATCAAAGTAAAGATTCTAAGCAAAAGTGCTTGTTCAGGTCCCAAGCCGTTTGCAACTTCTCAAAAGCTTCTTTGAGTGGTCTCCTGTGTCAGCACTAGAATTTTCCTACATAACAAACAGCAAACCGGCTGCAGGAAGGTAGAAGTCAGCTGGTAAATAAATATATGGCTGATACCCAATACAGTGACCACAGGCGCAACAATTAAGGATGATCACTGAATTTCTATATCTCAGTGCGACACGATAGCTATTAACAATCACTTTAAATTCTAATTTTTTATCAGATTTAGATTTATGAGGTATGGAATACTCCTCTGTTCAAATATTTATTAATGCTTACTATAAGCCTCGTGAAAGTGAAACATCCTACTAAACTCTGTATGAACCAACTACACACCCTTCTATCAGTCCTTGCTTACAACACCTCAAATCCCCTGCCCAACTGTGCCAGATTCTCTGCAAGACTTACAGTAAATAAAACCTAGCGATACACTGAGCCACATGATAAAGTCACAAGCTCTTCGCCCAGAAAGATTGAGCGTAATTCCTTAAATTAAGGTGATTTGGAGCCAGGTGCCTGGGCAACAGAGGAAGACTTAAAAAAAAAAAAAAAAAAAAAAAAGGTTATTTGGTTAAAAATAGCGGAACTTCTAGGGAACTAATTTAAACTGAAAGTGGGATTTATAATAAAGATACTGGCTTATCTCATTGGACACAAGCACAGGAATGCAGCCAGCCCTCAGGCAGAGACTGAAATAAAGAAGTAGAAGGAGCACCCCACTGCATTTCATTTCTGCTTCTCTCTGTGCACTTGCCCCTTCTGCCTGCAAGCTGAATTTTTCTGTTCTTCAAAACACAAGATGAAGCTGGGTGTGGTTCCTCATGCCTGTAATCCCAGCACTTTCGGAGGCCAAGGCGGGCAGATCACTTGAGACCAGGAGTTTGCGTCTCTACTAACAACACAAAATTAGCCAGGTGTGGTGGCTTGCACCTGTAATCCCAGCTACTCAGGAGGCTGAGGCAGGAGAATCACTTGAACCCGGGAGGTGGAGTTTGCAGTGAGCTGAGATCGCACCATTGCACTCCATCCTGGGCAACAGCGCAAGACTCTGTCTCAAAAAAAATTAAAAATTAAAAAATTAAAATGTTTTTAATGGCAGAATATAAAAAGTAACAATCTTTTGCAAAACGGAGAAAGAAGGAAGACCTAGGGAAAGTGCTTAGGTAGAAATGTGAAAATATCATCCCAAGGGACAGGGTGTGACTGACCTCTATTGGTTGTAGCAGATTATTTGTTAGGAGGTCATCGAATGCCATCTAAGAAGTGTGAAGTTGATCCTGGAAGAAACAGGATTTGAGGAGTCAGTGTGCTGTGGCATAACCAGATTTATGCTTAGAAAAAGGGAAATCGGTCCATGGCAAGACGGAGAATGGTTTAGAGGACATAAAAGCTAGGGGCAGGAAGTCAAGTTAGAAAGTTTTGCATGAGGCCGGGCACAGTGGCTCATGTCTGTAATCCCAGCACTTCGGGAGGCCGAGGCGGGTGGATCACGAGGTCAAGAGATCAAGACCATCCTGGCCAACATGGTGAAACCCCTGCTGTACTAAAGATACAAAAAAAATAGCTAAAAAAAAAAAATAGCTGAGCGTGGTGGCTTGCACCTGTAGTCCCAGCTACTCAGGGGGCTGAGGCAGGAGGATTGCTTGAACCTGGGAGGCAGAAGTTGTAGTGGGCCAAGATCATGCCACTGCACTCCAGCCTGGCGACAGAGTGAGACTCCATCTCAAAAACAAAAAAGAAAAAAAGTTTTGCATGAAATAACCAAGTCAGAATTGAGGGCTGAAACCAAGGTATGTCCTTTGAAATGCAGAGAAACAGAACAGCTGTGGGGAAGTGGAGGCAGAAGGCTTGGTGACAGGTTGGATGTAAGCACTGTCCGGGATGGAGGAGACTTACACTGGCTCTTTTTTGAACAGTGGTGAGATCCCAGCCTTTTCATAGGAATTTCCCCTGCTTATTAGTTTTGTGGAATAAAATCAGATTGGCATAATTCCTCTCATCCTACACCCCCACTCTTGGGAATATCCAACACACAGATCAGACAGATCTGCTACCTCAAATTGTATTACTAGGCTTAATTAACATAAAAGGGCTGCATCTTAATTTCATGGCTGGTATATGGGACTGGAAATCCCCTGGAACTCTACCAAGTCTCTGGCCTTCTGAGCTCAGATGAAGATTTTGGAAAGCTTGCTGAGGGTTTTTTCTTATTTCTTTGATGAGTTTTGCTGCTGCAGCATGCCTTCCTGGTGTTCCAGGTGAGAATACTGAGTGCTCACAACATGCCAGATATTTACTTACATTCTTTGTCTGTCTGTCTGTCTCTCTGTCTCTCTCTTTTCTTTTTTAGAGACAGGGTTTTGCTCTGTGCCCAGGCTGGAGTGCAGTGGCACAATCATGGCTCACTGCAGCCTTAACCTTCTGGGCTCAAGTGATCCTCCCACCTCAGCCTTCCAAGCAGCTGGGACCACAGGCATGCACTATCATGCCTGGCTATTTAGAAAAAAAAAATGTTTTTTTGAGACGGAGTTTTGCTTTTTGTTGCCCAGGCTGGAGTGCAATGGCGTGATCTTGGCTCACTGCAACCTCTGCCTCCTGGGTTCAAGTGATTCTCCTGCCTCAGCCTCCCAAGTAGCTGGGATTACAGGCATGTGCCACCACACCCAGATAATTTTTTGTTTGTTTGTTTTGTATTTTTAGTAGAGACGAAGTTTCTCCATGTTGGTCAGGCTGGCCTCGAACTCCTGACCGCAGGTGATCCACCCACCTCAGCCTCCCAAAGTGCTGGGATTACAGGCGTGAGCCACTGCACTCAGCCATTTAAAAAAACAAAAACAAACAAACAAACAAAACAGAGTCTCACTACATTGCCCAGGCTGGTCTTAAACTCCTGGCCTCAAGTGATCCTCCTGCCTCGGCCTCCCAAAGTGTCGGAATTACAGTCATGAGCCACTGTGCCCAGCCGATTGTCTCTTTTTATTCTTATAATATCCCATTTGGAGAAACTGAGACTCAAAAATGTTAAGGAACCTATTGCCCATACATCATTTAGCTAGTAAATCCAAAACTGGGATCAAACCCTCTTTTAGTCTGGACCCAAAGCTTGGTCCTTGAATCACTACAAGTTCCTGTGTTCTTACTGTAAGTAGCTGCACCTTCTGCCTCCCTGGAATTAATAGGTCTCCTGATAGTCAATGCCTGCCTATATATCCATGAGCCAACTGCTCTGCCTGCTCTCAAAATGGTATTTAGAAAGCAATATTTCGGTATGGTTTTGCTATTGCTATTGAGATGTCAATACTCCCAGGTCCTTTCAGGGGATTGAACTAACCAATGCATGTGTTTGTGCATGTATACACACACACATGAGCATATAGATATGTATATGAGTGTATACATATAAATGTGTATGAATATGGACATGAAAACATATATGTAAATGTGTGTACACATGTTTACATTTATATCTATCTTAATATATTAAAGACCATTAGGTCACTCCAGTGCTTCCAATTCTAATCCATCCACAAGGTTCATTCTAGTTTTCGCTTTTCTTTTTTTTTTTTCAAAACCACATTCAGTTTTTAATTTAATTTTCCACTGGGCAATTTACATATCTCCCTCACACTGTCTTTTAAGTTAGTGTCACAATTTTCCATAATAAACTGCTTAAAGAAGCTTTGGTCAAAAATGGAATGAAGTCGCAATAAAAAAAAAAAAGTACTGCTTTTAAAAAACCAACACTTTAACCAATTTTATATTCAAACAAAACCACATGGTATTGGCGTGATATATGTTCTCAGTGTTTCCTTGGGGCTGGCTTCCTTGCCATCGTGCCACAGCACAGCTGTGATCTTCCACAGTTTGTTGTGCTGGATGGCGGAAGCTCACTCAGCTTCACATCCAGAGGCCCTGGATGGAAGACTCGAGAGTCTTGAAATCCTAAATTGTCATGGCTCCACCGATGTCAGTAGTGCAAAATTTGCGACAATCTTGCTTGCCCACCTCATAAATAGAGACTTGAGTGATGCTATTCGGGTGCAGCATCTCCAACACCGTGTTGCGGTCCTCAGTCGTGGCCCTCTTGTCCATGTTGCAAAAGCATTCATGACAGACATGTTGCGTTGGATGCTCTGTTTTGGAACGTCCAACCTGGAGATGAAGGTCAGGCAGCCTCGGTCATCGAAAAGAGCGTTGGGCAGCAGTCATGGCCAGCAGCCACCACTCTGTTCTCTGAGACAAATGAAACACTTAGGAGCAGCAGGAACTCTGTGTGAGACCTGCACACTTTTTGAGGCATCAGCAACAGACATGGTGCTGTTGTGGCTGACCCAGGCCAGGCGGCTCCCACTGGCAGAGAAGCTGACCCTGTGGACCCAGCCACCAGTGCCACTGCCACCTAACTCTGACATCAGCTGCCCAAAGGGCATCTTGCTGCCCCAGTGCATACTGACTGGCTTTTCATCCACTTTTTTTTTTTTTTTTTTTTTGAGACGGAGTCTCGCTCTGTCACCCAGGCTGGAGTGCAGTGGCACGATCTCGGCTCACTACGAACTCTCCCGGGCTCACGCCATTCTCCTGCCTCAGCCTCCCGAGTAGCTGTCATCCACTTCTTTAATGTAGGCAGAAAACAGTCTGCATTTGAAGTCACATGATCCTGCTGCCAGCAAAACGTCGTTGGGATGGCAATCCAAGCTGAGGACTGTGGAGCGAATTGGCTTTTTAATGTGCTTGCTCACCCACCAGTCATTTTCAGACTCAAAGTAACAAACAGAAATGAATCGTGCTCCACTTCCCACAGCAAATTTGTTCCCTAGTGGGGACTACTTCACAAAAGTAGCTGCACAGTTAATTCTCAGGATCACCAGGGTTGGCTTACAGACACCATCTTTCTGACTCCAGACATAGGCATTGTGGTCTGCCCCACAAGTGACGATGCGGTCGCTCTTGGGAGCCCAGTCAATACCTGTGATATGTCCGTTGTGCTCCTTGAGTTCATGAGCTTTCACCCCCCGGCTCCCGTTCTTCTTCTTCCTTTTTTTTTTTTTTTTTTTTTTTTTTTGAGACAGAGTCTGGCTCTATCGCCCAGGCTGGAGTGCAGTGGCACGATCTCAGCTCACTGCAACCTCCACCTCTTGGGTACCAGCAATTCTCCTGCCTCAGCCTCCCGGGTAGCTGGGATTACAGGCGCCCGCCACACCATGCCTGGCTAATTTTTGTATTTTTAGTAGAGATGGGGTTTCACCATCTTGGCCAGGCTGGTCTTGAACTCCTGATCTCGTGATCCACCTGCCGAGGCCTCTCAAAGTGCTGGAATTATAGGCGTGAGCCACAGCGCCCGGCTCCGTTCTTCTTATAGATGTGCACTTGGTGATTATTGGAACTGAGGGCAATCTGGGTATGATCCCTGTTCCAGGCACGATAGGTGATTGGCTCTAATAAAAACTGGTGCAGTGACATTATTCTTAGTGTTTTCAAAGGAGAGAAAGCTGGGGTCGGGGGAGTCCGGACGGGCTTGGAGTGGAGGATTCATGGACTCTGGGCAGTCAATGCAAACAGGCCCACCACGGGGACCGATGACTAATTTTCTCTATTTCTATACTTTAATCCCTTTTCTGACAGTGAGAAACCTGACCCTCATTATCTTTGACATATTAGTTTACCTGAATATATTAATCTTCCTGTATATGACCAACCTCCCATCACCTCTTTCATTCCCTCCCCATGCAAACATCCTCCTCACCCCATTGTATTCTGATATGCAATACTAGGCCACCGTAGGCTCGTGGGTGAAAGCCCTCCCATGCCATTTGTGCTCTTGTGTTCTCTGAGCTGCCCCCCTGTATAAGCACCCTCCATCACCCACTCCAGTTCTGACTCCCCACACCAGGTTGCTCCCATGTATGGATGACTTCCTCTCCTTTCTTGGGCTCCAGCACCAGTGCTGGGCCATTTCCATGAATGGATATCCTCCTAATCCCCTTAGGTTCTGACTCTTCACATCAGGCTACTTCCATGTCCACCCAAAACCTGTGAATGTGATTATTCAGAAATAGAGTCATGGCAGATGTAATCAAGTTAAGATGAAGTCATATGGCTTTAGGGTGGGCCTTAATTCAATGACTGATGTACTTAAAGGAGGGAAGGCTGGGCACGGTGATTCACGCCTGTAATCCCAGCACTTTGGGAGGCCGAGGGGGGTGGATCACCTGAGGTTGGGAGTTCAAGACCAGCCTGATCAACATGGAGAAAGAAACCCCATCTCTACTAAAAATACAAAATTAGCTGGACATGGTGGTGCATGCCTGTAATCCCAGCTACTTGGGAGGCTGAGGCAGGAGAATCACTTGAACCCAGGAGACGGAGGTTGCGGTGAGCCAAGATTGTACCATTACACTCCAGCCTGGGCAACAAGACTGAAACTCCGTCTCAAAAGAAAACAATAAATAAAAAAGAAGAGGGAAATTTGGACTCAGATATACAAGGAAAATGCCATGTGATGATGGAGACAGAGGTTGCAGTGATATGTCTACAAGCTAAGGAACACCAGGGAGTGCCAGCAACCACCGGAAGCTAGGAAGAGGGAATGAACAATTCTCCCCTAGAGGCTTGAGAGACAGCATGGCCTGATGACATTTTGCTTTCAGACTTCTGGCCTCCAGAACTATGAGACAATACATTTCTGTTGCTTTAAGGCACTTGGTTTGTGGTCATTTGTTACAGCAGCCCTAGGAAAGTAATACATCTACTTTGTCTGGAACAAGAGGACAGAAGTATGTACTTCCATTGATTTATGTGCAGTTGCTAAGAATTTGGTTGGATGGTCAAGAAAGGAAGAAGATTGAAACACTGGTGACAAAGAAGTATGGGGAATAGGTATGTTGATGCACCTCTTGGAAAGGACATAGACTACAAAGACGTGTGTCTATGTGAATGCTCATCAAGGGAAATTCACAGCAGAGGATGCTCTGAATAACCAAAAGGACAAAATGACATACTATGTGGATGCAAAAAAAAAAAAAAAAAAAACTTTTTCCGGACACTTAATGTTTACTCAATGGGCACATGAATAAAGTGGTCATGATGGCAGGAATGGAGGCTAGACATGGACTCAACAACAGCTTCTCCTGAAGCTCCTAATCAAGATTAGCCAGGCTGACACTATTGCTGAGCACCTTATCTGCCAACAGCAGATGCCAACACTGACCCCTGATATGGCACCATTGCCATATGATTAGCAGCTGTCTGGTAGCAGGCTGATTATACTGGAACTCTTCCATTACTGAGAGGGCAGAAATTCATTCTCATTAGAATTGACACATATTCTGGGTATAAATGCCTTTTCTATTCATAATGATTCTGCCAGAACCTCCACAGACTCATAGAATACCTTGTCCACCATCATGGTATTCCACAGAGCACTGCTTCTGCTCAAGAAACTCATTTCATGGTAATGGGAATACAGCAGTGAACTCATGTCTATAGAATGCGGATACTGCATCATCTAGAAGTGGCTCCCCTAACTTAAAGGCAAAATTGCTTACTGAAAACTCATTTATGCTGCCTGTCTTAGTCTGTTTGAGCTCCAGTAAGAAAATACTATGGACTAGGTGGTTATAAACAAGAGAAATTTACAATCACAGCTGGGTGTGATGGCTCAAGCCTACAATCCCAACACTGGGAGGCCAAGGTGGGAAGATTTCTTAAGGCCAGGAGTTCGAGACCAGCCTGGGCAACATAGTAAGACACCATTTCTACAAAAAAAATAACAAAATTAGCTGGGCTTGGTGGCGTGTGCCTGCAGCCCTAGCTATTCAGGAGGTTGAGGTGAATGAATCCCTTGAGCCCAGGAATTCGAGGCTGCAGTGAGCTATGATCATGCCACTTCACTGCACCCGGGGCAGCAGAATCAGACCCTGTCTTCAAAAAAGAGGAAAGACAGAAATAAAGAAAGGAAGAGAGAGAGAGAGAGATGAAGGAAGGAAGGATGGAAGGAAGGAAGGAAAGGATGGAAGGAAGGAAGGAAAGGAAGGAAGGAAGGAGAGAGAAAGAGAGGAAGAGAGAGAGAAAGAAAAAGAAAGGGAGAGAAAGAGAAAAAGAAAGAAAGAAAAGAAAGAAATAAAGAAAAAGAAAGGGAGAGAAAGAAAGAGAAAAAGAAGAAAGAAAAGAGAGAGAAAGAGAAAGAAAAGTAAGGAAGGAAGAGAGAGTGAGGGAGGGAGGAAGGAGAAGGGAAGGGAAAGAAGGAGGGAGGAAGGGAGGGAGGGAAGAAGAGAAAGAGAAAGGAAGGAGGAAGGAAGGAAAGAAGGAATTTAGTCATGTATCACATAAAAACAAGAATACCTTCTAAGAAGTGTGTTGTTAGCTGATTTTGTCACTGTGAACATCTTAGACTGTGCTTACACAAACCTAGATGGTATAGCCTCCTACGCCCCTAGGCCATGTGAGATAACCTACTCCTCCTAGGCTACAAACCTTTACAGCATGTTACTGTACTGAATACTATTGGCAGTTGAAATGATAAGTATTTGTATAAACATAGAAAAGATAATGTGTTGCACTATCAGTAGGTATAGGAATTTTTCAACTCTACTGTAATCACATGGGACCATCCGTCATTGACCAATATGTCATTATGCAATGCAAGATCAAGGTACCATCCATTTCTGTGTCTGGTGAGATGTCTCTTCTGGATAGACAGCCTTCTTTTCACTCTAATGTCACATGGCAGAAGGGGTGACAGGTCTCTCTCAGTCCTTTTTTTATTTTTAAGGGCACTAATCCCATTCATGAGGGCTATGCCCTCCTGACCTAATCATCTCCCAAAGGCCCCACTTCCAAATACTATCACCTTGGGGGTAAGGATTTCAACATATGAATTTTGGGGGGGACATAAACATTTAGACCACAGCAGTGCCAGATGTGAAACCACACTTTTAAAGATCGGATTCTGACTTGGAAGATGCAGTATATGCTTTGAATCAGAGACCGTGATGTAGTGCCATCTCCTCCACAGCCAGAACAAGAGTCCAGGAATCAAGGAGTATGAGTGAGAGTGGCTCCTTTCACTACTGTATCAAATAACCCACTTATAAAATGTTTCTTCCTATCCTGGCAACTCTAAGACTTGCTGATGTGAAAGTTTTTGTTCTCAAGGGAGAAATGTTTCCATTAGAAATACAACTATGTGTCTAGTCCACTACATTGGAAGATGAGGATAACACCTGACCATCTTGGGCTGCTTATGTCACAAATCAACAGGTAGAATAAGTGGTTTCTATACTGCTAGTGATTGATCCCAACTACCAAAGGGGAACTTAGGTTACTGCTAAACCACGAGGACAAACAGAACTATGTATGGAACCCAGGGGATTTCCTGGGACATCTCTTAATACTTCCATGCCTGTATTAGTCAGGGTTCTCCAGAGAGACAGAACCAACTGTGTGTTGTGTGTGCGTGTGTGTGTGTGTGTGTGTGTGTGCACGTGATATGGGGAGATTTATTAGAGGAATTGGCTCACATGATTATGGAGACTGAGAAATCCCATGACAGGCCATCTGCAAGCTGGAGACCCTGAGATGCTGGTAGTGTGACTCAGTCCAAGTTCAAAATCCTCAGAGCCAGGGAAGCTGATGGTGTAATACTCAGTCCAAGGCCAAAGGCCTGAGAACCTGGGGGCATTGGTGTAAGTCCTGGAGTCCCATAGTCAGAGAGCCTGGAATTCTGATGTCCAAGGACAGGAGGAGGAGAGTATCCCAGCTCCAGGAGAGAGAGAGAGAGAGAGAGAGAGAGAGAAATCCTTTTCTCTCCTTTTTTATTCTATACGTACTAAACTCCTTAGCAAAAATGGTCACTTGGCCATATCCTTAGTATTCTCTCTTGAACTCTTGAACACACTTTTTCATTTTTTACATGACCAGGCTGAAAATTTTCAAATCTTTCCATTCTGCTTTTTTCCCCCTTTTTTTTTTTTTTTTTTTTTTTTTGAGGAGGAGTCTTGCTCTGTCACCCAGGCTGGAGTGCAGTGGCATGATTTTGACTAACTGCAACCTCTACCTCCTGGGTTCAAGTGATTCTCCTGCCTCAGCCTCCTGAGTAGCTGGGATCGCAGGCATGCACCACCAGTCTTGGCTAATTTTTTTGTATTTTTAGTAGAGATGGGGTTTCACCATGTTGGCCAGGCTGGTCTTGAAGTCCTGACCTCAAGTGATCTGCCTGCCTCAGCCTCCCAAAGTGCTCGGATTACAGGCATGAGCTACTGCGCCCGGCCCCATTCTGCTTCTTTTTAAATTATGAATTCCATCTTAAGTCATTTATTTCCTCTTATATCTTACTGTATGTGGTTAAAAGTAGCCACACAGATCCTAAAAATATTTTTCTTAGAAATTTGTTTTACCCAGCTGGGTGTGGTGGCTAACAACTCTAATGCCTGTACTTTAGGAAGCCAAGGCAGGGAGTTCAGTTGAGCCCAGGAGTTCAAAACAAGCCTGGGCAGCAAAGTGAGACCCTGTCTCTACAAAAAATTTAAAAATTAGCTGAGAGTGGGGGAGTAGCATCCCAGCTACTCAGGAGGCTGAGCTGGGAGAATTGCTTAAGCCCAGGAGTTTGAGGCTGCAATGAGCTATGATCACACCACTGCATTCCAGCCTGGGTGACAGAGCAAGATCCTGTCTTAAAAACAACAGCAAGAAAAAAGCTCTTCCATCAGATATCCTAGCTTATCACTCTTAAATTCTGCCTTCTGTAAAGTCTAGGGCATGAACACAACTCAGCCAAGTTCTTTGCCATTTCATAACAGGGATGGCCTTTACTCCGGTTTCCAAGAAGGTATTCCTCTTTTCCATGTAAGACCTCATCAGATTGGCCTCTACTGTCTATATTTCCACCAATATTCTAATCATGGTCACTTAAGTAATCTATAATTAGTCTCAGCCCTTCCCTGCAGCTCTCTTCTTCTTCTGAGCCCTCACCAGAATCACCCTTAATACTCCATTTACAGCAATCTAGTCTTTTTCTAGCCTGCTGCTCCAGATCTTTTTAGCCTCTACCCATTACCCAGTTCCAAAGCTACTTCCGCATTTTCAAGTATTTACTATAGCAACAACTCCAATCTTGGTACCAATTTTTTTGTCTTAATCCATTTTGTGCTGTTATAATAGAATGCCACAAACTAGATCATTTGTAAACAGAAGAAATTATTTAGCTTGCAGTTCTGGAGGCTGGGAAGTCAAAGATTGTGAGCCTTCATCTGGTGAGGGCCTTCTTGCTGCATCACAACATGGTGGAAGGCATCCCAGGGCTAGAGAGCATGCTCAAGAGCAAAAGGGGAACAAATTCACTTCTATAACCAAACCACTCCCTCAATAACTAACACACTCCTTTGATAACAACATTAATCCATTCATGAGGGTAGAGTTCCCATTACCTAATCACCTCTTAAAAGTCCTACCTTTTAACATAGTACTGTTGTATTGGGGATTAAGTTTCCAATATATGGCCGGGCATGGTGGCTCACGTCTATAATCCCAGCACTTTGTGGGGCCGGGGTGGCTCACATCTATAATCCCAGCACGCCAAGGCAGGTGGATCACTCCTGAGGTTGGGAGTTCCAGACCAGCCTGACCAACATGGAGATACCCCGTCTCTACTAAAAATACAAAATTAACCGGGCATGGTGGCACATGCCTGTAATCCCAGCTACTCCAGAGGCTGAGGCAGGATAATCACTTGAATCTTGGAGGTGGAGGCTGTGGTGAGCCGAGATCACACCATTGCACTCTAGCCTAGGCAACAAGAGTGAAACTCCTTCTCAAAAAAAAAAAAAAAAGTTTTCAACATACAAACTTTGGAGGACAAATTTAAACCATATCAATGCCCAAGAAAAAATATTAACAGAAAACTGTCACACACACAAAAAAATAGAGGCTGGAATATTAAGACTCAGACAATTTAGAAATGAAAGCTTGGTCACTCCACTAAGACACCTGACCAGCTGAGCTTCTGGCTGAGGGCAAAGGGAATACAGAGTAGGTAGCAGAAGGTCATAAATATCAACCATGGTCTCGTCATCAGTTAAAAAACAGGGCTGTAGTAGGTTGGCTACATATTTTCTCTTTGCTTGTAATATGTATGTTTATTTTTAAATGTTAGCCATTTTCTTTTTTCCCCCATGATTTAATATACAAGTTGTTGGAGGTTAACTTTACAATTTAGACTTTAGCTAACAGAATATTTAGTAAACTGTGACTGAATTTGAAAAGCAATTAATAAACTCAGTATTAAAATTTTTTAATTTTAATTTTTAAAATTATAGTAAAATATGCATAATGTAAAATTTATCATTTTAATCATTTTTAAGTGTACAGTTCATTGGCATGAAGTACATTCATATTGTTGTGCAACCATCACCACCACCCATCTCTAGAACATTTTCATCCTCCCAAACTGAAATCCTGTACCCATTAAGCAATAACTCCGCATTCTTTCCTTCCTGCCCTCCAGGCCCTGACAACCACTGTTCTACTTTCTGTCTGTATGAATCTGACTATGCCAGGCACCTCATACAAGTGGAATCATACAATATTTGCCATTTTGTGATTGTCTTATTTCAAGTATAATTTTTTAGAAGGTGAATTATAACTCACATACAAATACAAAATGAATATGTGTGATAGGTTTTATTTACCTCATTAATTAATGAGGGAACCAGTAAGATGTTACAACTAGATCAAAGGATAATTCAAAAAAACACACATAAATAGGCAACAAGGAATGCTAGAATGCATTTATTTAAAAGATGGAAAATGGTCTAACCACAGGGTGGTTAATCTACTATATTCCACCAGACACAAATAATTTTCATTTCTATGAACTAAAAATCTTTTACATTGTTATTAGTTTTCTACAACTTTCAGAGCTATAAAATAGCCCCAAAACAATGAAAGGAAAAGAAAACCAGGGAGTGTATAAAAATAGAATGTCCAATAATCATACATATAGAGCATGAATGGATATTGACAGTATAGCCGTGAATGGAAAAACAAAAACAAAAAAGGGAGGGTAACACTGTGCCAGTTATCAATTTATTGCTCCTTAGTCCAAAGCAATCTTTCTTTTTCTTGTTTGGAGTTAACTGATCTGGATCTGGATCCCATGAACATTTCTCATTTGCCAGCTGGTGCAATGTTAGGCTTATCAGCAGAGGGCACTAGAGAGACACTGCAGGCATAGCAGAGAGGCAGTAGCTGCCCTTCCTAGATCTCCTTGTTGTAGATTTTGTTCTTATGGTGTCACCTATGGAGTTCCATTGGCACTCACTCTCCAATAAGCTTCCACCTCACCCCAGTAGATGGCTTCCAGCTCACCATCCCCACCTGCAGCTGCACCACCACCTCTATCTGCAGCACTCCAGTGAATTCCTCTGTCATTTACACATATAATTTCTCTGCCATCTAGCTACAGCCCCGTCCTCTCCAAGGGGGTCTGAATTTTAGCCTCAGGGTTGAGATCTCTTCCAAGTCTGTTACTCCCTTGGATGTTCTCCCTCAGCCTTAGAGGTAGTCATGCTGTTTACATTTGCTTTTTCTTCTTCTTCCTTTTTTTTTTTTTTTTAAGAGATAGGGATCTTGCTAAGTTGCCCAGGATGGTCTCCAACTCCTGACCTCAAGTGATCCTCCTGCCTCAGCCTCCCAAGTAGCTGGGATTACAGGTGCTAGCCACTGCATCCAGCTGCCTTTTTTTTTTTTTTTTAATTTTTAGAAACGGTCTCACTCTGTTACCCAAGCTGGAGTGCAGTGATACAATCATGATTCACTGCAGCCTCAACCTCCTAGGTTCAAACTATCCTCTAACCTCAGCCTCCTGAGGAGCTGAGACTACAGGTATGTACCACTATGCCTGGCTGTTTTTTAATTTTTTGTAGAGATGGGGTCTCACTATGTTGCCTAAGCTGTTCTTGAACACCTGGGCTCAAGTGATCCTCCTACCTTGGCCTCCTAAAGTGCTGGAATTACAGGCATGAGCCCTTGTGCCCAGGTTCTGGTATTCTTTAGAGTTATCCTTTATCTGTCTTAATAGTTAACCATGTTTTATTAGTTAGTAACCTTTATATTAAATTTTTCCTGCTGGGTGCAGTGGCTCATGCCTGTAAGCCCAGCACTTTGGGAGGCCAAGGCGGGTGGATCACCTGAGGTCGGGAGTTTGAGACCAGCCTGGCCAATGTGGTGAAACCCTGTCTCTACTAAAAATACAAAATATTAGCCACATGTGGTGGTGGCAGGCACCTGTAATCCCAGCTACTTGGGAGGCTGAGGCAGGAGAATGACTTTGAACCAGAGCTGCAGAGGTTGTAGTGATCTGAGATCGCACCATTGCACTCCAGCCTGGGCAACAAGAGTGAGACTCTGTCTCAAAAAAAAAAAAAAAAAAAATTCCTGATAAATTATTGGTATAATTTCTGTCTCCTGATTGATAACACCATAAGCTTATTTATTTTCTCCCTATTTTAAAGTTGTCAAATCCATATTATTACTCGTGCAAAATAAATATATTAGCATGCTTTCATGTCATATTAATATTTTCTAGGAATTTAGTTCTGAGTTGTAATTGAAATAGTTTCTATTTCTCTTTTCTTTGGTTCTTTTATTTGGATTTTACTTACATGTTTGATACCTTCTGATATTGCTCCCTCTCTCTTTTTTCTTTTGAGACAGGGTCTCACTCTGTTGCCTAGGTTGGAGTGCAGTGGCACAATCATAGCTTGCTGCAGCCTCAACTTCCCAGGTCCAAGCCATCCTCCAACCTAAGCCTCCCAAGTATCTGTGACCATAGGCGCATGCCACCACATGTGGTTGTTTCTTTTTTTGAAACAGAGTCTCACTCTGTCACACAGATTGGAGTGCAGTGGTGTGATCTCAGCTCACTGCAACCTCTGCCTCCTGGGTTCAAGCGATTCTCCTCCCTCAGCCTCACAAGTAGCTGGGATTACAGACGTGCATCGGCACACCTGGCTAATTTTTTGTATTTTTAGTACAGATGGGGTTTCACCATGTTGGCCAGGCTGATTTTGAACTCCTATCCTCAAGTGATCCACCCCCCTCGGCCTCTCAAAGTGCTAGGATTACAGGCGTGAGCCACCACACCAGGGCCATGGCTAATTTTTTTATTTTTTATAGAGACAAGGGCTCACTATGTTGCCCAGGCTGGTCTTGAACTCCTGGGCTCAAACGATCCTCCTGCCTTGGCTTCCCAAAGTGCTGGCATTATAGGCATGGGCCACCACACCCAGCCTCTGATATCTCTTAAAGCAGTATGAATTTCTGCTTCTCTTATAATGTGGGTCCTTGTGTGACAAATTTTCTGTGAACTTGTATGCTTGAGGCTTAATGTCAGCTTTACTATGCTTTTATATTTGAATGATAATTTAAGTGGTAACATATTTGTGTGCTAGCACATTCTCACATTGCTATAAAAAATACCTGAGATTGGGTAACTTATTTAAAAAAGAGGTTTAATTTACTCATGGTTCTGCCAGCTTACAGGAAGCATGGTGCTGGCATCGGCTTATCTTCTTGGGAGGCCTCAGGAAACTCTGAATTATGGCAGTAGGCAAAGGGGGAGCAGGCACGTCACATACCCAGAGCAGGAGCAAGAGAGAAAGAGAGGAAGTGCCACACATTTTTAAATGATGAGTTCTCTCAAGAACTCACTCACTGTCATGAGGACAAACCAGGAAGATGGTGTTAAACCATTCATGGAAATCTGCCCCCATGATCCAACCACCTCCCACCAGGCCCCACCTCCAACATTGCAGATTACAGTTCAACATGAGACTGGGGCAGGGACATATATCCAAACTGTATCAATTTGTCAGTCTCATATATATATGAGACCGAGTCTCACTCTGTCGCCCAGGCTGGAGTGCAATGGCACGATCTTGGCTCACTGCAACCTCCGCCTCCCAAGTTCAAGCAATTCTCGTGCCTCAGCCTCCCAAGTAGCTAGGATTATGGGCATGCACCACCACATCTAGCTAATTTTTGTATTTTGAGATGGGGTTTTGCCGTGTTTGCCAGGCTCGTCTCAAACTCCTGAGCTCAAGTGATCTGCCCGCCTTAGTCTCCCAAAGTGCTGGGATTATAGGCATGAGCCACCACACCTGGCCCCCAAACTATAACAATTTGAATGATAATTTATTTAGAATTTTAAATATGAAATTCTAAGCTCTAGGTTTGTTTCACAATACTTAATATTACTCCTTTGTCTTCTTGCAGCACATGTGCTGTTGAGAAATCTAATATCAATATGATCCTTGTTCCTTCATAGATAACATGTTCTTTCTTTCTAGAAGATTTCAGAATTTCTTCTTTATGTATGTTACTTTGACATTTCATTCTAATGTATCTAGTGTGGATCTTTCCTTTTCTCTTTGGCACCTTTATAAACTTTTCAATCTGAAATCATTCATCTTAAATTATAAGAAATTTAATGTTATTTCTTTGACTATATCATCTTTTTTTTTCCTTTTTTTTTTTTTTTTTCTGAGACAGAGTCTTACTCTGTCGCCCAGGCTGGAGTGCAATGGCACGATCTCAGCTCACTGCAACCTCTGCCTCCCAGATTGAAGCAATTCTCCTGCCTCAGCCTCCCGAGTAGGTGGGATTACAGGCTCCCACCACCACGCCTGGCTAATTTTTTGTATTTTTTAGTAGAGATGGGCTTTTGCCATGTTGACCAGGCTGGTCTTGAACTCCTGACCTCAGGTGATCTGCCCACCTTGGCCTCCCAAAGTGTTGGGATTACAGGCGTGAGCCGCCGTGCCTGGCCTATGTCCTCTTCTTCCTTTTTGTTTCTAATTTCCCCTCTTGGGACTCACATAGGTGCTGACACTTGTACTTCCATCCTGTCATGCTGGACCCGTTGACTTCATTAGGGATGGTACCATGTTTGAGAGGCCGAAGAAGAGACTTGGAACCTGCAAACAAGACAGGGTTTATTGAGGAGACTTAAATACAGGGTGGTCTAGTGTTGGTGGGCTGGACAGGAGAACCACAACCAATTGTAAAAAGCATGCAATTTATATAGCATTTTCACTTAACACACTTCCCCTAGCAACCTCCACCTGGCAATGTTCATTTAACCCAAAACAAAAGAGGGCCTCCATCCCCTGTACAGCCTGCATTCCAGGGAATAGGCTGCAGGTTATGGTCCTCATAGATAAGGAATGAATCTCCGGGTTGGCCACTCCTAGATTCCTTAGCTTGGAACTCCAAACACACATTCTTCTTAGACGATAGGGTCATTCTCAGGGTATGCTTACGTTATTGCTGTCAGGTGAGTCTGCCATACAGGGTCATTCTCTGGGTATACTTACGTTATTGCTGTCAGGTGCATCTGCCATACCGGGTCATTCTCAGGGTATGTTTATGTTATTGTTGTCACATGTGCCTGCCGTACAATCCTCCATATTTCTTTGATATGTTTTATGCATTATCATTTCCTGCTGGCTTTTCCATCTGTTTAGCTGTGAGTTTTTAGAGGAGGGCCTCAACAAACCATGGGAAACTACAACCTAACACCCACTTTTGTAAATAAAGTTTTGTTGGAATAATCATATTCATTCTCTATGTACTGCCTATGGCTGCCTTTGTGCTATAATAGCAGAGTTGAGTAGTTGTGACAGAGACCATGTGGCCCATAAAACTTAAAATGTTTACTATCTGGCCCTTTACAGAAAAAGTATGCCCACCCCCATTCTAGAAGATAGGAGTCATCTTGTTCTATTTTCCCTCCTAAGGGCCTAGAATGTACCCTGCCCAGGCTTGTTGAATGAATGAATACATGAATAAATAAGCTTCAAAGGACAGATATATCAAAAGGTGGAGGCCGGGCATGGTGACTCATGTGTGTAATCTCAGCACTTTTGGGAGGCTGAGGTGGGAGAATTGCTTGAACCCAGCATGGGCCACATAGCAAGATCCAGTCATGTGTTTTTGTTTTTGTTTTTGTTTTTATTACAGGTAGAACTAGAGCATTCTAGCTAAAGGGAACAGAAATAGAATAAGTAAATACGTACAAGTGAAAATCAAGGGCAGCTTTCCAGTAGAGCAAAATGTCTAGCAAAAGTGAAGTCAGAAAGACTGGTTTAAGAAATATTCTGGGGCCAGGCATGGTGACTCATGCCTGTAATCCCAGCACTTTGGGAGGCCGAGGCGGGTGGATCATGAGGTCAGCATTTCAAGACCAGCCTGGCCAAAATGCAAAATGGTGAAACCCTGTCTCTACTAAAAACACAAAAATTAGCCAGGCGTGGTGGTGGGCGCCTGCAATCCCAGCTACTCAGGAGGCTGAGGTAGAGAATTGCTTGAACCCGGGAGGTGGAGGTTGCAGTGTGCCGAGATCACGCCACTGCACTCCAGCCTGGGCAACAAGAGCGAGGCTCCATTTCAAAAAAAAAAAAAAATTCTGGAAAGCCTGGAGTCTAGAATGAGGAGTTGATACTGAATTCCCTTTGCAATTGCCACATATATCACATGACCAGAGGTATAATTAAGGAAGATTCATCTGAGAGTGGAGGTTGCTGTAATGGTGAAGTTCTAAAGAGCTGACTCAGAATGGTGATGGAAAGTTTCTGAGAGACAATGCAGCTGGGTGGAAAGAGATGGGCTTCACAGCCAAACATCTACAACCCAGCCCCACAACATCCCAACTGTGTGACGTTAGGCAGTTGCTCAATCTTTCTGATTCGTAGCTATTTGTCAAACATGGTGATTCAGTGAGGATCCAGTTACAAAAATAACACTCATGCCAGGTAGTTCAGTGGAGAAAATTTAATACTGAAAGACCCAAAAGGGGAAGGTGAGACTATTCAGGCATTAAGCAACTGCCACCCTAAGGTGGGGACTAAGGGAGAACTTAGTGTTACAGGAGCTCAGGAGGCAGGGCTGTTCATTGGGATCTGTAGAAGCTGGGGCTATGGGGGAGGTGCTGCCACTGGGCCAGAGCCATTGCCCAGAGCAGAGAAAGAAGAGAAATGCCCAGGAGTTGCCTCTCTTCCTGCCCTTCTATCTCCTCCCAGTGCCTTCCATTGGCCAAACCCACCCAGAAGCCAGTTTCCCAGCAAAGAAGCCCTGAAAAGGTGGTTTGGGAGAATCTACCCCGTGACTGAAGGCAGAGTAGAGGAAGGGCACCTAGACTAGACTAGACTAGATTTGAGGCAAACGAGCAGATGACCTGTGCCATCTATCTCTGACTTGGGGTTGTGTTGAAGCAGGCTGAGCTGACACTGTGGGCTTCCACGTAGTATACAATCAGTAAATGGTAAATGTTCTTTTTTTCTTTTTACATCTCCATCCTCATTTTTTACCATTCGTCCCCAAATTCAGACATATTGATGTCTTTTTAGTTTCTAAAGGTCACTATGAACTCTATGACTTTGGGACCTGTGGATATTTAACTCCCTCTGCCCACGAAGTTTCATGTCCCCGTTTGATCACACACATTTTCCCCAACTTCCTCTTTTCTTTTCTTCTTTCAAAAATTTTTTTTCTTCCTCCTTCCCTCTCCTTCTCTCTTCTCCCTCTTTTGTTTTAGAATTCATCTTAGTTACTACCTCTGCCAGGATGCCTTCCCCAAGTCCTTTAGTGTTTGTTGGATGTCCCTGTCTGTGCTCTGATAACCTCCTATGCTCTATCATGTGTGCCTCTAGCCTAGCACTGAGCAAGACATAGATTTATTTTTTCTTTCCGTATGAGTTTTCTGTCGCTGCATAACAAATTACCACAAACTCAGCAGTCTAAAACAACACTCATTCATTACCTGACAATTTCCATAGGTTGGACTTGCGGCATGTTTTACCTGGGTCCTCTGCTCGGGATCTCACTAGGCTGAAATCAAGGTGTAGCCAGATGTATCTTCATCTGGAGGCTTGACTAGGGAAAGTTCATTTTCAAGTTCCCTTGGCACAATCCATTTCTTATGACTGTGGCCTTTTTTTATTTTATTTTTTATTTTTACTAGCTGTTGGCCAGAGGCCACCCTCAGCTCCCAGAGGATGCTTTCAAGTCCTTGCTATATGGCCTCTATACAGCATGGTAATTTGCTCCTTTAGGGCCAACAGAAGAGAAGCTGCTGCAGCTTTGGATCTCTCTGACTTACTCCTTCTTTGGCTCCTAGATCCTCTTTTCAAAAAAGAGCTCACCTGGTTCAGTCAGACCCAACCACACTCAAGGAGAGGAAATGAAATCATGTGGGATTGGGAATCTTGGGAGCCATCTTAGACTTCTGCCTACCACACTCTCCTTCTAGATACGAACTCTCTGAGAACAAGGTTATTCTCTTACTTCTCTTTATATCCCCAGAACTGAGCAGAATTAGTACCTGACAGTAGCTATTTAATACAAGAATAAAGACATAAAACAAAAAAAGGGAAGAAAACTCATAAGGAAGGGAGAGATTTAAGAGGAAAGTTAAATATGACTTGGTAATAATGGACACTTGAATCAGAATCCCGAGTCTATAATGGCACCATTAACAAAAGTTGAGAACCAAATAACAGGAATTGGGTAGTATAAGTTCCACGTTAGATACATTGAATTTATTTTGCCTGTGGGACAACCACATGGAATTTCTTGCAAACCAATGAGGGTGATAGTCTGGAACTTAGAAGAGAGATGTGGGTTGGGATGAAACAAAGTATTGAGTGCTGAGTTCTTGAAGTTGTGACATAGTCTTTAGGGTGCTCTTACCTCCAATCCTGCTCCACCGGGGCACTGTTACTTAGCTTTTCTAGTCTAACCCTCTCTATTATTTCTTTTCCTTCCCACTTCTCAACTATTTGACTTTCCCATAATCATTCAGGTTTCCTTTTCCTCTTCTTATTTAGTCCTCCAGATATAACTGTCAGCATGAAAACCCCATTGCCAGCTCCCTTGAGCCTGCTGATGTGAATTTCACACTGATAGACACTAGTTGAAACACTTATACTAATCTAATTTTGTGTATAGTGTTAAGAACATGGCCTTCAGCCATGGAAGAGCTGAGTTCAAATTCTACTTCTACTATTTAATTGGTTATGTAATCATGATCAAGATGAAATATCTCTCTGAGGTTATAACTTCTTTATTCATGAACTAGACAATATACCCACATTTTCAAGGAGATTAAATAAAGTTATATGTGTACAATGTCTGGGAAATTGTGGAAACTCAGTTAAATCCCTACATTTGTTTTGGGGGATGAAAAAATATTATTGTGCTCACATTGTGTTTTGTTCCAGCTGCACTGGAATTTTGCAAATTACTACTTTAAATGTGAAATCAGTTGAACAATACAACTACATGACTAAAAAGCATTCACAGTCCCCACTGGATTTGGGGAGTAGTGTGTAGCAATGAGGAAAAATTTACATACAATATGAACCTCATATTTGTTAGAAAAAGTGATGTCAGGTCACTAGGAATCACGTTTTCTGCAAAGTATTCATCACAAAATACAGACAGTTATTTTAATTATAATAATTGTGCACCTGGTTCTTCTTACAGCAAGTTCACATTTGCATATCTGCCTCCCAGATAGAGACAGATAACTAAGAATTTCTCTATCTGCCCACAATCTATACCTGGCTTTCTGTACATTTTCTTGCATAACCTTAGGGATTATAATTGTAGCCTGACTGTCTCCAATCCACTTTCATGTGGCAGTCTCAGTAATCTTTCTAAAATGCCACATGATCAAATCAATCTCCTACCCACCGCATTTAGGATGAAAGGAAAGCTTTGTAGGTTGGCATGTAGTGCCCTTCACTATCAGTTTCTGGTTGACTTTTCCTGTCCTATTTCATATCACTGCCCCCCTCATAATCTTTGCCTTGAAGTCCCGCTCCTCCTCTTGATTTCTGTTCTTTTTTGGGAACTGGCCCTTCCTCTACTTCCCTTAACCTGGCTTAGACTAATCCTTCCTCCTTTTTCATCCCTCCTCAGTGCCAGCATCTCCCTCTCCTCATCTACACCGCTTTCCCCGGAGTCTGGGTTGGCTGTTTAATTTAATTTTTTTGTTTTTGTTTTTGAGGTGGGGTCTCATTCTGTCACCCAGGCTGGAGTGCAGTGGCATGATCATACCTCAACGCATCCTCGACCTCCAGGGCTCAAGTTATCCCCCTACCTCAGCCCCTGAAGTAGCTGGGACCTCAGTTGTGCACAACCATGCCTAGCTAATTTTTTTGCTTTCTGTAGATACAGGAACTCACTACGTTGCCTAGGCTGGTCTTGAAGTCCTGGGCTCAAGTGATCCTCCTGCCTCATCCTCCCAACGTGCTGGGATTCTGAACGTGATCACAGTGCCTGGCCTTATTTTATTCTATTTTTAATCATAAGTATATGCTCAGGTTAAGATTTATTTGTTCCGCCAGGTGTGGTGGCTCACGCCTGTAATCCCAGCACTTTGGGAGGCCGAGGCGGGTGGATCACGAGGTCAGGAGATTGAGACCATCCTGTCTAACATGGTGAAACTCCGTCTCTACTAAAAATACAAAAAATTGGCCGGGCGTGGTGGCAGGCGCCTGTAGTCCCAGCTACTCAGGAGGCTGAGGCAGGAGAATGGCGTGAACCCGGGAGACGGAGCTTGCAGTGAGCCGAGATTGCACCATTGCACTCCAGCCTGGGCAATAGAGCGAGACTCTGTCTCAAAAAGAAAAAAAAAAAAAAAAAAGATTTATTCCGGGCGTGGTGGCTCACGCCTGTAATCCCAGCACTTTAGGAGGCGAAGATGGGCAGATAACCTGAGGTCCGGAGTTCGAGACCAGCCTGACCAACATGGAGAAACACCCGTCTCTACTAAAAATACAAAATTAGCAGGGCATGGTGGCGCATACCTGTAATCCCAGCTACTCGGGAGGCTGAGGCAGGAGAATCGCTTGAACCCAGGAGGTGGAGGTTGCGGCGAGCTGAGATGGTGCCATTGTACTCCAGCCTGGGGAACAAGAGTGAAACTTCATATCAAAAAAAAAAAAAAAAAAGATTTATTTATATACTTTGCGAGAATAAGTTAATGCCCTTTGAGATATACATGCAGTCATTTGGAGGAACATAATTTAAACTGCTGGCTTAAAATGCTTGGATCTTGCACAACTGCAGAGTTTAGAAGTACTTCAGTTTGACCAAACAGTTGTCCATGTTGTGATGCTGGGCACATTCCTCACCTGCCTCTATCTTAATGTTGTCTTCCCTCCTCATGGGCTGTTTAGGTGCTCTGAGAATACATCCTGTGAGCTTCTATGAGTCCCAGGGGTTTAACTAATTTGTTTTTAAATTTTAAGTAAAATCATGGCTGAAAATTGTCAGGTAACATCCCAGGAGCCCTCATATGAAGAAGCACCTAAAAAGTCCCATCATCATATTTAAAAGGGAGATTTATTTGGGGGGGTGGGGGGGTTCTGTTAAAAAAAAAAAAAAGCACCGATGTCAGAAACATGCTTCATCTTATTAGAAACATAATCTGAAATGTATGAGATTAGGTTGTCAAAATTAAGAAAGTGCTGGAATTTCATTGAGTGTGCTAAAAATGTAATTTAAGAATTCTTGTAAGGAAGATGATGGAGGAAAGTGTAGCTAACAAAGTTAAATATCTGCAACTCCATTACATAATTACTCTCCTTTTGTTTATGTCTGAAATTTAAAAAGTAGATATAAAAAATTTTTTAAAGTAGATATAGTGTAATCACTTTTTAAAATAGCCTTCTTATTGACTATTTATATAAGATGACCAGCAGAAGAGAGAGAAAGGCAACTTAAAAAATAATAATAACTCACTGGCATGGCTATCCTTTTTTATTCATTATCAGAAAATTAATTTGATTTAGTCTTTTTAAATAGCCAGTCACCATTCACGAAATAAATCAACAGAAGTGTGTACTGGAATTATTTACTTGCTTGTTTCTGCCACCACACTGGAATGTCATGAAAATAGGAGCTCTGTCTTTGTCATCAATATGGCTCGTCACCTAGCACATTGCCTTAAGAATATTGATATAAATGGAATGACTTACTCTCTGAACCAAAGCTACATCATCTTCAACAAAATTTTTGCAAAATTACAATCTTCAATTCCAAAGGCAGGAAAATAAAATGATCACACTTCCACTGTCAACATCATTTACTAAGTTGACCACAGTTTGAAGAGCCCTATAGGAGATACTATGGGATGACACAAAAAGAACACAAAAAAGGAAAACATTTTAGATAGAAGTGGTAAAAGTTTTCAGATTATAAAATATTACCATGCTAATATATATTTCACAATGAAATGTATTCATTATATAGCAAAAACGTTAAAATACTTGTTATTGATTAGAATAGAGATCAGTCTCTGTTAGAAACCTTTAAAAGGTGTACAAACACTTTGTAAGAGATGACTCCTGTCCCATCCTGCTCAGGGATGACCAGAACTTTCATCTTAGATAGATACACCACCAGGTTTCATCAGGGACACCTTAATTATTTTAGCTGTCTAGGTAAACCAATCTCCCGATGGGAGGATATGGAGTAGGGCGAAGAGTTATATTTTGGAAAACAATCCATGGGAAATTAAGTCAAGTAGCCAAAGGTTTAATTTGGAAATGCAAATATCCATCAATTAGGTTTTCAATTATGTGGACAATAAAAGAGTTGAGCAGAGCAGTAGAGACAAACAAAATTAAAAAGAGAAAAGGCAGAGAAGGCAGGGAGGGGCTTATTTTCACACATTATACCAATTTACATTACACATCATATTAAATTTAAGTAAGGCGCTTTTCTTCATCCAAATAATTTCACCCATTTTAAACCATAAAATACTGTCGGCGAAATCTCATCTGGGCCATTTGATGTAATCTTTCTGCGTCCCTTTCAGGAAGGAAGGTGCGACAACACAATGAAGACAGCCTGTTGCTTTCCTTGGTATGTTTACAGCAGGAATCGGGCAGCGACTTAACTAGACATAAGTTTCCCCTTCTTCCCATGGGTCTATTTGCCAAAGCCCCCTGCACCTATTAGAATTTTCTGAGGTTGGGCTGGTGGAGAGCAGAAACCCGGAGGCTAGATTCAGGAGACCTGGTTTCCCATGCCACTTAGTAGCCTGTGACATTGAGCACAATACTTACTTTTCGGCGCTTCCGTTTCATTATTTGGGAAATGGGAACAATATATCTGTTTTATAAGATTGTTGTGAAGATGAAACAGGCCTGTGTGTGAAAGGCCTTTTCTAAATTGTAAAGCGCTCCCCAGATGTTAGTTATTATCTCCTTTAAAGGGCACAGAATCTGTTTCAATATTATAGGAGGTTGCAAAAAGGCTCCTTGACACTTTTTGCTCAGAACTTGACCCTGAGCTTAATCTCGCCGTAAAGTGAAAGGGTTCTTGCGCCCCCACAGCAGCCCGGGGCAGGGTCACCCTCGCGACCGGGGCGGTCATTGCCGTATTCCGTCCTGAGCTGCCGCTCCCCCACGATCCTCCCACCAATCCCGGGAGGGCCGCGACGTCCCTTGCCGCTTGGGTGGCGCCAGCTAGAGGGCGCGGGCCGGGGCGGAACCCGGTACCGCAGCTCGGGAGGTGGGGGTGGGGGCGGGGCCTCGCGCGGAGGGCGTGGCCTCGGGGCGTCCCGGGCAGCCGGCGTGCTGAGCTTGCCAGCCAGCTAGCGAGCGACGGGCGCGCGCGGCCCCTGCGCACTCGGCCGCCGCCTGCGCGCGTTGCGGCCGCAGCTGCACCTTTGCCTCCGCGGTTCCGCAGCCGAGCCCCGGGAGGAGGCGCTCCCCTGCGTCGTCCGCACTTGCGCCCTTTCCCACCGCAACAGGTCAGGGGAGGGCGGAGGTGACGAGGGCGCCCGACCCGGGACTAGAGGACGGAAGGGTCTGGAAGGTGAGCGCAGCCCTGCGCCACCCAGGGCTGGGGGTCGATCCGCCCGGCCCCCGACGCCGCCGCCGCGGACTTCTCGGAAGCCGAGGCTCTCCCCGCCTCTCTGCCGGCTTCCCAGCACGCTGACTCAAGTCGCTGGCGTTCCCACTTTTCCGGTGGGAGCCCTCGGGGAGAACGGGCTAGGGCTCAGAGCTCTCACCGCCCTACTTGCGATCCCGCGGCAGGTAGCGCGTAGAAAAACAGGGGACGGGGACATGGGAAGAGACCCATGCTCCTCCCTCACGCGCAGCCCCCAAGTCAGACGTTTGCCTGTGCACCCCGCGTTTTGCGGAGAGCTGTCCCGTTGTTGGGACCTGCTACTTGAGTTGCGTAATGAGTCCCAGAAGTTTCTCGGGGGGAGGGGGCGGGGAAAAGTGGGGTTCTTCTCTCCTGCACCCCGGGACCCTTCCCTGTGCCTGTCGTGGAGAGAGATGAGGGCTTCCCGCCGCGTCTCGCTGAGAGCAGGAGGGAGGCGTGTGTCGGTGGTCCGTAGCCTCCGGGGAGGAGTTGGAGCCACCTTCTGAGACTTAACTTCAGGGACAGAGGGAGAGGCGTCTTTAGTATGGGACTGGTTAATTTCTCTTGATAATGCTTTTTTCCCTCGGGTGTCCCATCCTCTGTGGCCGTCGCAACCCCACCCTCCGACGGTGCGAGCGCCGGAGCCAGCGAATGAGAGGGGAGAGAAGGTGGAGAGTGTGAATCACACGTTACCTTAGTGTAATGGTAGTTGCATTAATGGAGCTGCGACGGGCCTGCGGGCGGTTCGATACCGTCCGGCTAGTTTTCTCTTCCCGGAGCTTCTCCACCACCAGCACCCGCAAATTGTTATGCAGATCATCCCGGGAAGGCACTTGGCTTTGGAGGTGGAGATGTGTCCGAATCTCCCTTGAACCAGTCTCTGTTAGGGGGAAAGGCCTTGCAGCCAAGTGATTTGTTTTAAGGGTGGAGCCGGAGATAATTTTAAACACCCTCCCCCTTGGTGCACGTTGCGGGGTGTGACTCACCACGGGGAAATCAGACTGATTTAAAACCTTCAGTGCAAACTTGTAAATTAAGGCGAAGACCCAGTGTTCCCTGGGACAGTTGCAAAGTGAGAAGAGCTCAGAAACTGAAGCACAGAAACGTTAGGTAGGAGTCTGAGAGGCGTGGAGAATTTTGCTTGTGCAAGATTATTTCAGAGCAAGGTCGTGCGGTGTGTGTAGAAGGTAGGTGGCCGTGGGTTACCTCTCTCAGACCTGCGTGGTGTTGGCCTCTGGGTGGGGATAAAAGTCACGAAAAAGACCTTTGGACCCAGAGTCTAGTTTTTTTTCTTTGGGGCCGAAGAATACCTAGGCATGGCCCTGTTTCAGTGTTTACTTCCTCTGTCTAATGTATTTCCTTAGCTCGCCTTTCATCTTTAGTGGGAAGGATTACTTGAGTGGATATTCCGGAAGTAGATTCACAGGAGAATGGAAAATTCTGGATGGTTTGCTTGCTTTAATTTCAAGGTGTTGTCTCTTGTGGATGTTGGGAAGTATTGTACTTGAATATTTGAAGATAAATATGGAGAAAAGCAGTGGTGAGAACTAAAGGAAAATGATCCAAGGGGAGATGAGAGAAAGCAACAAAATACATAAGTAGTACGTAAAACTAGAGAAACTCACTGGAATTAAGCCATTTTTATGGAGAGAAAGAACCAAGGAAATAATTTGGGATAGATTTGGTCACTTTGAGACAAATAGAGATTGAAGAGTGGGACTTTTGGGGAAAATGAGTTTAGATATTGGAGACTTTTCTTTTTTCAAATATAACTTACAAGGATGTTGAGGCTGGAGATGTGAGACTTGCAGGTATGTTGCTGTGAATTCTTTGCTTTTCACCTGCAAGAAAATGAACTGTTAAATATTAATCTGCCTTATTCACTGTAACAATTGAATTTGTGGCTTTGGCATTTGCTTAACTCTTCAACTTTGCAAAACTATAATTTTGAAGAATCACAGTGTGTTAAATTAGAATACAAAGATCATTTAGAGATTGAAAATTTATGACAAAAGTCCAGGCCATTGTAAACATTGCTTTCTCCTACATGCGTAACAGGCATGCATTTTTTGCCACCAGAATCACTAATCTACTATAGGGTAATAAGACTATATCAAAACTAGCTGTCTCTTCTGTTTCCTCTCCGGTTTAACTGAATTTTGCAGAGCTGGTTGAGGTGAAAGTTACTTTTTTAATTGACTGAGAACTTGCTTAATTAGGTTTTGGATTAAATTTGGAAGAGACTATTCAATTAAAATACATATATATTTATCAGGCACCTTTACAAGTCACTTTATTTATTTTTGAGACAGGTTCTCACTCTGTCACTTAGGCTGGAGTGCGGTGGCACGATCATAGCTCACTGCAACCTCCAACTCCTGGGCTCATGGGATCCTCCCTCCTCAGCCTCCCAAATAGCTGGGATTACAAGCATATGCCACCATGCCCGGCTAATTTAAAAAATCTTTTGGTAGAGATGGCTTGGGGTGGGGGTGGGGGTGGGGGGCTCCCTATGTTACCCAGGTGGGTCTTGAACTCCTGGCTCAAGCAGTCCTCCCACTTTTGCCTCCTCAAGTGCTGAGATTACAGGTGGAAGCCACCGTGCCTGGCCTACAAGTCACTTTAGCCAGGTGATTGTTTAGTTGAAGTTTCATATTGCCTTGAAAGTTGAAAAGAGGGGTGAAAAAATTGAGCTTAGAAAGGGTAAACTTGTTTTCAATATTTTTTGAAAAGCTGATGGAAGGAGTTCTATGTTCAACTCTGTAATTTGTGGGCCCAAAGTTCCTTTATTTCAAGGCTCTAGACCATTAACTAATTTTTTGGGAGATTGAGAAAGTATGTTAGAGAGAGTGCAAATTAAGGAACCTCATTGGGGCCAGGTGTGGTGGCTCACGCCTGTAATCCCAACACTTTGGGAGGCTGAGGCGAGCGGATCACTTGAGGTCAGCGGTTCTGGACCAGCCTGACCAATATGGGGAAACCCCATCTCTACTAAAAATACAAAAAGTAGCTGGGCATGATGGCGTGCTCCTGTAATTACGCTTCCTCGGGAGGCTAAGGCAGGAAAGTCGCTTGAACCCAGGAGGCGGAGGTTGCAGTGAGCCGAGATTGCACTGCTGCACTCCAGCCTGGGCCACAGAGCAAGACTCCGTCTCAAAAAAAAAAAAAAAAAAGAAAAGGAAAAAAGTAAGTGTATTTACCATAAATATACAGAGTTTGATTAGTGATATTTTCCTCAAATAATAAATTCAACAATGGTTTCTGAAGTTTAATTGGCAGTTGCTTTCTAGTAGTCTCTTTTTTTAAGACACAGTAGAAGCTTATTTAATAGTGTTGATTTGGATCTTAGATTTTAAAATAGATTACATAAACTCTGTAATCCATTTATTAAAATTCTACCACAGCATGGAAATAAATGTGAAATATGTGGCTCTTTGTAGGTACACATCCATTATTCATGATTGTTTATATCTGGACAACAGATTGTTATAGACTTGACACCATGAGACCCCAAGGTCATCAGGGTTGCTAATAGGAGTTTCTGTTGTATGCCTTAGGACAGAACTTCAGTAGTATTCCCGAAGGGAAGAAAATCAGCTGATTTTCTTAAATTATCTGGCCCATTTTAAACATGACTAAGGATTTCTTGCTAGAGTGACTTTTTCCTATTAAAAGACTGAGATTATTGTGACAAATAGTGCCTGAAGGAATCAATTACATCATTAATATAGTATCTCATATTCATTCCTAATACCGCGTAAGTATTGAGTAGCTTCTGTGAGCCAGACGGTATCCTAAGCATTGGAGAAATTGTGATGGTAACATGATCAAGAAAGAGAAAGGGCCTGTGCAGGTGGAACTTATATTGGCACTTCACTGTTTACCAACAGCTTTCACATGGCATAATCATTTAAGCCTAATTGTGACTCTGAAATTGGAATTCATTTTCCATTTTAAAATCAGGAAATTGAGTTGAAGAAGTTAAGTGACTTGACTCTGTGACTCAAAGCCTGGTGCCCTTTCTACTATGGTACACTGTGTTGGCTATGTTGATGTGTGGTTTCCTGTTTTTCAAGAATTACAGCTTGACTCTAAAATATAAATAGTGTTTCTCCTTGGGTAAGTAATTCTTTCTGATCACTATGGGAATAAAAACAAGTATTTTCATTTAGGATTTTGAACATTTGTGCCTCCAAAGGAAAAAATTATGCAAACCTATTTAACAGACACGTGGTGTTTATTTGCACTAGATAAGAATCCTTACCTTTCTAAAAATTAAATAGAGGGCCTTACGGACTAGCTGCCTTAGTGCTTGAAAACTATTATTCAACTTGTGAAAGCTCAGTTCATAAATTTTTTAGAGCATATCCCTATGTAAGTCAGAACATACTCATACCATTTCCTTCTTATAGATACAGTGAATATGTGCAGCCTGGCAGTAGTTCTCAGACCTATAATGTACTCCTGAAAGGCTTGTGAAAACACAGGTGTGCTCCTCTTACCCGTCCCCCGAGTTTCTGATGCAGCAGGTCTAGGGTAATGCCCAAGAATTTGCATGTGTAACATGTTTGTGGCTGATATTGATGCTGTTATTTCTGGAACAACACTTTGAGAACCACTGTGGTATAGCAGAGAGTTTAAAAAGGTTTCTGAGTCAGACAGCTTGGGTTTGAATCTTGGATATGCTACCTACTAGCTGTCAGACCTTAGGCAAATTACTTTTTTCAAGAACTATGAAGGCTGAGCGAGCACTGCTGCTTACGCCTGTAATTCTAGCACTTTGGGAGGCAGAGGCGAAAGGATCATTTGAGCCCAGGAAATTTGAGACTAGCCTGGGCAACAAAGTGAGACCCCTTCTTTAAACAACAGCAACAGCACCTGTGAAGTCTGAGGTTTTACCCTACTCTCAAGCTAACTAACCTGCCACAGTTTCATGGACCCCTGGGTTACAGAGGAATGACTTTATCACTCATCAAGATAGCTGTAGCCAGAATATCAACATTTTCTTAGACTGGTTTCCTAAGCCCCAATTTTCCAAAGGGTTATGTGAAGAGGGGAAGAGAGCCAAGTGACACATGCAAAAACAGTGGGTTGTATTAACAGGAAGGGAATCCTGAGTTTTTATGAGACAGAGTCTCACTCTGTTGCCCAGGCTGGAGTGCAGTGGTGCAATCTTGTCTCACTGCAACCTTCGCCTCCCAGGTTCAAGCAGTTCTGCCTCAGCCACTCGAATAGCTGGGATCACAGGCATGTGCCACCACGACCAGCTAATTTTTGTATTTTTAGTAGAGACGGGGTTTCACCCATGTTGGCCAGGGTAGTCTTGAACTCCTGACCTCAGATGATCCACCCGCCTCAGCCTCCCAAAGTGCTGGGATTACAGATGTGAGCCACTGTGCCTGGCCTTCCTAATCTTTTATAGTTGTCAGTAAGTGTGTCTGCTCTTCACAGGGAGATTTTATCTTTTTTTTATTTTTCTTTCCCCTAATCATTAGAACCTGTGAAGGGAGGGGCTGGGCATGGTGGCTCATGCCTCTAATTCTAGCACTTTGGGAGGCTAAGGTGGGTGGATCACTTGAGGTCAGGAGTTTGAGACCAGCTTAGCCAACATGGTGAAACCCTGTCTCTACTAAAAATACAAAAATTAGCCGGGTATTGTGTTGGACACCTGTAATCCCAGCTACTTGGGAGGCTGAGGGAGGAGAATCGCTTGAACCCTGGAGGTGGAGGTTGCAGTGAGCAGTGATCGAGATTGTGCCACTGCACTCCAGCCTGGGTGACAGAACGTGACTCGGTTTCAAAACAAAACCTGTGAAGGGAGAGTTTTATCTTGATTATACTGCATAGTGAACATGCTGCCCTTAGTGCTAGGAGACTATCCCTAATTTTCCAAGGCTGTTCACCATACAAACATCTTTAAAGATAATTTGAAACAGCCAGGTACAGTGCCTCATGCCTGTAATCGCAGCACTTTGGTAGGCTGATGTGGGAGGATTGCATGAGCTCATGAGTTTGAGACCAGCCTAAGCAACGTAGTGAGATCTCGTCTCCACAAAAGTTTTTTTAAAAAATAGCCAGGCGGGCCGGCCGCAGTGGGTCACGCCTGTAATCCCAGCACTTTGGGAGGCCAAGGCGGGTGGATCGCTTGGAAGTCAGGAGTTCGAGTTGAGCCTGGCCAACGTGATGAAACCCCGTCTCTACTAAAAATACAAAAATTAGCCGGCGTGGTAGCACATGCCTGTAATCCTAGCTACTCGGGAGGCTGAGGCAGGAGAATTGCTTTGGGGGTGGAGGTTGCAGTGAGCCAAGATTGTGCCATTGCACTCCAGCGTGGGCAATAGAGCAAGACTCTGTCTCATAAATAAATAAATAAATAAATAAATAAAATAAAAAATAGCCAGGCATGGTGTTGCATGCCTGTGGTCCCAGCTACCCAGGAGACTGAGGTGGGAAGATTGCTTGAGCCTTGACCTAGGCTGTGGTGAGCTGAGATCCTGCCACTGTACTCTAGCCTGGGCAACAGAGCAAGACCCTGTCTCGAAAAAGATAATCTGAAACAAAAAGACAATTGATGCCTCTGCTTGTAAAAATATGCACAAATACCACAGACCCATGGAGAAATTGTCTCCGAACACCTTTCCAATCCTCCGTTTTTTTTTTTTCCTTATAAATTGGAGTGAGCAATATAGCAATATCTTCTTTATTGAGTAGTTGAACAGAGTAAAGGTACTAAGATTTGGCAAGTTCTTGGAGCAGAGCATAGTAAGTGCTACATAAATGTTTGCTATTATTACTCCTGAAGGAAGAGATTGTGTTCTCAGTCTTTTTTTCTTTTTTATGGTAAATATTGTCTCATAAGATGAAGTAATTGGTTTACTTTGAATAAATGGCAAACTTTGAGTTTGTTCCAAGAAACTTTTGTAAGGGTCCAAATTCTGAAATGAGGACAATGCCTTGTACGATATTTTACCAGCCCACAGGGAATGAGGTAGAGACATTTTCTACCAATATCCATGTGCTTTTCTGTGTTTCCTAGCTTCTTTATGGTTACACAGAATCAGGTGACTCATCTGTCCAGATAAGCAGTGAGTCACAGATAAGCAATAAACATTTATTTATTTAGCATAAGTTAACTCCAGATAGTAAGTAGTAAGTACTATGAAAAAATAGAAGTGTGGCCAGCACTGCTATTTTCCTACTCAGTAGCCATTCCTGTTTGTTCTTGTTGTCACTAAAAGAACTTTAATTGCTAAGAGACTACATTTGTCCAGTCTTAGGTAATAGATCATGTTTGTTCTCAGCCAGTGGTGACAGTTTGTATCTTGATTTACCTGCTTCCTTTAAAGCTAGAAGAACCTGGGTGACCTAGTTCTGGTTTTTTGATGGTAAAGATTTTTGGCAAAAATAGACAAATATGTCAGGCAAAGCCACACCTTCCTCTTCTCCTCCTCTTCGTGCCTTGAATATGAATGAGATCTCTCGTTCATAAGATGGACCATGGCAAGCATGAAGACAACATGCTAAATAGGCAAAGCAGAAAAAGTCAGAGTTCCTGATGCCTCATTGCATAGCTAACAGTATGCCAAGTAGCCACCCTCTTCTAGACTTGCTGTAGGAGAAACATAAACTTCTATTAATTTAAACAGTTATTACTTACAGCTAAACACATTCCTAACCCATATAATAAGCATAATGGAGTAGAGAGTTGTGGGTTGGCTGGAGAGAGTCCTTGAGGGACAGCATTGTCACATTAGCTTTGAGAGTCAGTGGAGGCCTCTCTGAGAATGTCATTGGAGCTGAGCACCTAATGATCAGAGGGAGCCAACAATATGTGGGATGTGTACTTGAGTGTAGCGTAGCACCAGAACCCCGTTGAACAAAACTTCAAAGTGTAGAAGAGATAGTTGGGGAAATTGTATTCCTTTATGGATTTCTGAGCTTGTGAGGTCCATGTGCATTGGAGAGCCTAGAGGAACTGTAGATGATCAGGTCAGTTTGGGGTCCTGGGAGATTATGATCTCTCCCAGGGGTAGATCTCTCTACTAGGGGTAGAGTTCTAGAGAATCAGACTAAAACAGAATGTATGTCCCATGACTTATCCCTAACACATTGCCTGTTACCAAGAGACTGTTATTCCTGGGTAAAGGAGAAGTATAGTTGACGAGGGACTAACTAGCCTACAGGCCTCTGAACAGAGTAATTTTTCTCATATTCTCCTTTGGAAACTAGATTGTGGTCCGGGGACTGGGGAGCTGCTTGCTCTGTTTGTCCAGTTGAAAAGTTCCCAGGCTGGGCTCAGTCGCTCACACCTGTGATACCAGCATTTTCGGGACCAGCCTGGGCAACATGGCAAACTCCTGTCTCTACAAAAAATACAAAAATTAGCCGGGTGCAGTGGCTCATTCCTGTAATCCCAGCACTTTGGGAGGCTGAGGTGGGCAGATCACCTGAGGTCGGGAGTTTGAGACCAGCCTGACCAACATGGAGAAACCCCGTCTCTACTAAAAATACAAAAAAATTAGCCAGGCGTGGTGGTGCATGCCTGTAATCCCAGCTACTCGGGAGGCTGAGGCAGGAGAATCGCTTGAACCCTGAAGCGGAGGTTGTGGTGAGCCAGGATCCTGCCATTGCACTCCAGCCTGGGCAACAAGAACGAAACTCTACCCAAAATAAAAAAAACAATAATAACATAAAATGAAATAAGCCAGGCATGGTGGCACACATCTGTAGTCCCAGTTACTCTGAAGGCTGAGGTGGGAGGTTTACTTGAGCCCAGAAGGTTGAGGTTGCAGTGAGCCATGACTGTGCCACTGCACTCCAGCCTGGGTGACAGAGCAAGACCCTGTAAAAAAAAAAAAAAAAAAAAAAAGTCTTCCCTAGTGTGTGGAATTGCCCCAGCACATGGTTTGGCCAGCCAAAAAAATAACTAGAACAACCACTATCATTTATTGAATGTTTACCATGAGCCAGTCATTGTGCTAAAACTTTTACAAACATTATGTCCCCGACGACAATCCCATGAAGCCCCTGTATTACTGATGAGAAAGCTGAGGCCTTAAGAAGAATAATTTTCTGGAGGTTTTTTTTTTTTTTGGACAGTCTTGTTCTGTCGCCCATGCTGGAGTGCAGTGGCGCGATCTCAGCTCACTGCAAGCTCCATCTCCCAGGTTCACGCCATTCTCCTGCCTCAGGCACGCGCCATCACGCTTGGCTAATTTTTTTTGTATTTTTAGTAGAGATGGGGTTTCACCATGTTAACCAGGATCGTCTTGATTTCCTGACCTCGTGATTTGCCCGCCTCGGCCTCCCAAAGTGCTGGGATTACAGACAGCCGCGGCGCCCAGCCTCGAGGTCTTATAGCTAGTTGCAAAGCAGGTCTTTTACCAGCATGTGGTAAAGACTCTTGAGAGTAGGTTCCCCAGAGTGTACTAGGTTTGGAAGCACTTAATGACCTAAGTGAACAGAATATTTGAAAACATCTTGAGTCACTTTTTATATTCATCTTCTCCCTTTTTTTCTATTTATGTATGTATGTGGTGTGAGTGTCCATAAAACTTACATATATGTGTATATACTCACATGTATGTGTATACACACTCTTGAATTATGAATTGTTTGAGGAAGAAAAGCAGTTTGATACACATGACATTTTAATTTCTGAATAAATTTGGTAAGCAAGAGAGGGAGGACTATAGAAAGGTCACTTAGATAGTAATGTACATTCCTGCCATGGAACATTCCAAAATGAAATAAAGTTTGCATCATTCACATAAAATTTAGTGTGGATATAGCTGCTACCATGTGTCAGTGTGCTAGGTATTTTAGCTAGGTGATATAATATATGCTTCTCAGTTACTCTGGAAGGTAGGAAGGTCTCTGTTTTACACATAGGGGCATGGAGGCTGATAGAGCTTAACTTGTCCAAGGTGATCATGCAGCTCACTTGAGCCTAGCTGCTTTCTGCTGTACAGCACTACTCTGTTTTTAAATAGAGCCAAGTTAGTATCTTCCTTATTTTCTTTTCCTTTTTTTTTTTTTTTTTTTTTTTGAGGCAGGGCCTTGTTTTTTCACACAGGCTGAAGTGCAGTGGTGTGATCACAGCTCACTGTAGCCTCCACCTCCTGGGTTCAAGCTACCCTCTCACCTTAGCCTTTTGAGTAGCTGGGACCACAGACATGTGCCACCTTGCCCAGCCTTTCCCAATTTTTTTTTTTTTTTTTTTTTTTTAGACAGGGTCTCTGTTACCCAGGCTGCAGTGCAGTGGCACAGATCACAGTTCACTGCAGCTTCCTCCTTCCTGGGCTCAACCAATCCTCCTGCCTCAGCCTCCTCAGTAGCTAGGACTACAGGCATGTGCCACCATGCCCAGCTAATTTTTCTATTTTTGTAGAGACAAGGTGTCACTGTGTTTCCAGGGCTGATCTTGAACTTAAGCAGTCCTTCTACCTTGGCCTCCCAAAGTGTTGGGATTACAGGCATGAGCCACCATGCTTGGCCCATGGAGGATTATATTGAAAGATTGATAGCATAACAGAATAAAAGGTGAAAATGCCCTTTTAAATCTCCTGCTCTGGCCTCTTCACCAAAGCTCTTCCCTTTCCAGAAAGCTACTATTAACAGTTTGGTATATGCTATTCCAAACTTTGTGTGTATGCATAAACTTAAAGCATTAAACAAAAAATTGGCTCACATTGTACATTTTATTTAGATCTTGCTTAGATTAACCCATGTGGTTCTTTTTGATGTTTTAAGGCATCTCATTATGATGTATCTGTAGTGCTCCTGAGCGGTGAGACCTGGGGGGTTGCTCACTCCTTCAGTTTTCTACTTATCAGTCCCGAGGACCCTTTTCCACTACAGATCTCTATGGCTTGCTCCTCACTTTAAGTCTTTGCTCAAATGTTGTGTTCTCTGACCACCCTACGTAGAACCGCAATACCCTACCTTGATTCCTCTCTGCACTCCCATTTTGCTTTTCTAACATCTATATATTTTACTGAATGTGTCTTTGCTTACCTTCTGTAGTATGTAAGCTCAATGGTAGCAAGAGTCTTTTCTTCACTATATTTTTTATGTTTTTTGAGGCAGGGCCTTGCTGTGTTACCCAGGCTGGAGGGCAGTGGTGCAATTTCAGCTCACTGCAACCTACATCACCCCCACCCCCCACCCACCCCCACCTGCATCCCTACTCAAGCAGTCCTCCCACCTCAGCCTCTTAAGTAGAGTAGCTGGGAACACAGGCATGCACCTCCACACCTGGCTATTTATTTTTATATTTAGCAGAGACGGGTCTTGTCATGTTGCCCAGGCTGGTCTTGAACTCCTGAGCTCAAGCATTCAGCCAACCCTGGCCTCCCAAAGTGCTGGGATTACAGGTGCACACCCGGCCCACTCTCTTTATTCTTAGTACCTGGCTTACAGCAGATGCTCAGGATACATTTGTTGGTTCTGTCAGTCAGTCAACAAACAAGTGAACTCAGGACCCCTCTCAGATTGATAGCCACCCAACAGCCCAACCTGTCTCCTTTTCTCCTGTTATCACTCTCCACCAAAGAGCCCTAGGGGTGGGTGCTATTGGGTTGCAAGCAGGTTGAGCATCTTCACTGGGAGGGTAATGTGGGGAACTGCCATCAGGGACTCTTCAGATGCCTCTACAGAAGTGTTATGAAGAATAATGCCAACAGGAATACAATAGTGTTTTATTGATCACTTACTGTGTGCCAGCCCTGCAAGTCAAGAGAGAGAAAGTGTGAGCAGCAAAGGCAGGGGTAGAGCTAGCGATGCAGAGAAAGAGAAAAAGGAGAAAGTGAGCGATAGTAAGTGGTGAGGGAAGGGAAGGGAGACTAGTGGGGATTGAGTTGGAGAATTGAGAAAACTTGCCTAGGGGGCCACTATTGCTGGTCAGAAGAGTGACACATGTTTGACCCTGAAAAGTAGATCTCTGCTAGTGTGAGTTTAACTAGAATATTTTAACATCCATGCTGCAATCTTTTGAGAGAGGAGAAAGAGTGGCAAATTATGTCTGCTAGTATGGAAACATGTAGTTAGCAAGTCAGCAATTTAAATTTCATGGAGAGGGAGATAAAAGACCTTATCGGGAGTAAGAATAGAGCTGTGAAGGACTATATTCAGTGTTTCAACCTCAGCCAAAGTTGTAACAGCCTCTTAAACAGAGGCAAGTTAAAATGATTACAAATTTAATGTGTGTTTCCATTTGTATCAAATGGTTTGTCCAGTCTGTACTAAGATAATTTAGTAACATACCTTTCTTTGCCTTAAGGATGTTTGAAAAGTAAAACAAACTATTTAATGCAAGTTAGGATAAGTGTAGTCAATTTATAAATACTCACTAGAGAGGGAAAAGGAAACAGCTGTAGACAGTGTTAACCATAAAGAGAGGTTGTTTCCAGAGTTACCCAAGATAGTACCAAGACTATCTGCCCAGATTGGATAATAATTTTTCCCCCAAATTCAGTCTTGTTTTGAAAGAATGCCCAATAGTTGTTTTATTTCGGTTTTTGTTTGTTTTTTTTTTGTTTTGATTAAGTACCTTTAATGAGTGGAAGTAAAATCTTAAGATTGATTGTCACTGGGACCCACTTTTCTTAAGTGTTGCATTCTTATGTGAGAATGACCTGTTGATTTCCTTTCTCTTGCATAGTTGACACTCTTACCTTTTCTTCCTTTTAATTCTAGTGAGGATGCTGACACAACCTGTGACCTTAGGCAAATTACTTAAAACTAAGTCTACATTTCTTGGTTGTTTTTTTTTGTGTGTGTTTGAGTCTCCATTTTCTTAACTATAAAATGGGATATTAGTATCTGCCTTGCAACTTTATTGTAATGTATTAATGAAATGCCATTTTTAAAAGGGCTTATTTATATTTAACACAATGCTTGGCACAAAGTAGGCACCAGGGGAATGGTATTTCCTTTTCTCCTCCCCCTCCTCCTTATGGTAAACTTGTGCACATTGTTTTCTTGCTGAAATGGCTTTGAGAAGCAGCCTCACAGTTAAAAGTGCAATTGGCCTTTGATATATACTAGATAGTTTGTTCATACAACTTGGGAATTGGAGAACCATTTTCTAATTCAAATGAGAACTTGGAATTCTGTCTCCAATAAAGCTTCTTACAGGTCATGCGTATCCCTGAATTTACTCACAGGCTAATGTTCACAGGCTACTCTTTGTTTCTCTTTCAGATGAACAGACTAGCCACTTTGCATTGACTGGAAACAATGGCATTTACAGAAAGAGTCAACAGCAGTGGCAACAGGTAAGCATAGAATCTATGATTCAAAGACATGCTGATATTTAATTTTATAATCTACTTTTCAATGAATAAGTTTGGTCTTTTTCAATTTTGCAACTTAAGAACTCACGGGTGCAAGAAAATGTTTGAAATTTTCAGTTTTCTCTACATGAAGTCAAACTTGTTGGACTGGCTACATATTTTCTTTTAAATCTAGCAATCGCTGAGTCTGTTAACTCATTTTTTTTAAAAATGTGGATGTTAATTTAAATGATTAAATCAGCATTCTAATGCTGTGTTCAGGATAACAAGATTGCACTGATTTGGGGAAAGCATACACATGTTCAGCCTGTGCTTGAAATAAATAAACAAATCCATCTCATCCTGAAAGCTGTGAAGGAGGGAATTCCTTCATATTTGTATTTTGCCCCTTTCACATCTCTCCCTCCAACTCTGCACACACAATTTAGTGCCTTCTTGCATATAGTAATTGATCAGTGTTGATTGAGGGGATCATATTAACATTTTGAAGCAGTTTTACATAATAACTCATTTGACATTCGGAAAGAATTGTTATCACTGATTAGTTTTTATTTAAAGTATTAGCTATTCAAAAATATATATATATATATATTTTTTTTTTTTGAGATGGAGTCTCAGTCTGTTGCCCAGGCTGGAGTGCAGTGGTGTGACCTCAGTTCACTGCAGCCTCCACCTCCCAGGTTCAAGCAATTCTGCCTCAGCCTCCCAAGTATCTGGGATTCACCATGTTGACCACGCTGGTCTCTAACCCCTGACCTCAGGTGATCCCCCTGCCTCGGCCTCCCAAAGTGCTGGAATTACAGGCGTGAGCCTCTGCGCTACTCCAAAAACGTATTAAATGTTTTTAAATGTTACTACTACCCCTTGTAGTAACATTCTAGCAATTGCAGAGTTGTTTTTATTGTTACTTTTATCATAATTTCTATTTATTAATTATTATTATTATTATTTTTTTTTTTTTTTTTTTCCCGACTGGGGCAGGCGGGCTTTATTCCGGGTGCTGGAGAGCTGTGGGCCCCACTCCTCCCCCAGAATGCCACCGGGTTGAGGGGCTGAGCCTCAGCAGGGGTGAGCGCTCAGAGCAGGAAGGGGATGATGGGCATGCGCAGGGGCGGGTAGTCCCGGAACTCCTTCAGGTAGCTGCGGTGCTTGCCCTTGGCCCAGATGGTCATCTGGGTGAAGCCCACCAGGGAGAACAGGGCCACTGGGAGACACTGCGTCATGATGGCGAAACCGATCCAGGACCCCACCTCGTAGGTGTAGTTGGGGCAGGACACCAGCAGGAAGAGCCACGTGAAGGGGTTCTTGGTGGGGTATGGGATCTTCCGCGTCTTGGACCCAGCGGGCCGCAGGTCCCGCAGGGCCATGTGGATGGAGAAGTTGCCGAGCTGGCAGATCACAAAGATGGCGAGCGCCAGTTTCACCTGCTGAGCTCCGTAGGTAGGGGGAGTGTAGAGAGGGTGATTGATGTAATAGGCCATCCACGCGGCGAAGCCCCAGTAGTAGGTGCAGTTCTGAAAGGGAGCAGGGCAGGGATGGGACTTGGGCCAGCACCGGACAAGGCAGATGCTGCCCATGTCTCATCCCGAGGTATTATTATTTTTTTAAGACAAAGTTTCGCTATTGTTGCCCCGGCTGGAGTGCAGTGCCATGATCTTGGCTCACTGCAACCTCTGCCTCCCGGGTTCAAGGGATTCCCCTGCCTCAGCCTCCCAATTAGCTGGGACTACAGGCGCATGCCCCGACACCTGGCTAATTTTTGGTAGAGACGGGGTTTCACCATGTTGGCAGGCTGGCCCCGAATTCCTAACCTCAGGTGATCCACCTGCCTTGGCCTCCCAAAGTGCTGGGATTACAGGCGTGAGCCGCTGTGCCCAGCCATAATTTCTATTTATAATAGAATTCTTTTCCCACTTCTTGCTACTGCATTTCACTAGTCTAAAAAATAAAAACATTATAAGAAATGTAGACTCAGACTTATTTATAATGCAACAGAATAGATGATGGTGCCTGCAATTGTGGACCATCCCAAATGTTCTCCTACTTCTCCCCCTTTCTGGTTCATTTAGGAAATTATTCAATTCCTGGTCATCATTGTGGGCTGCTAAACTTGGTTTACTCTCTCCCCTCACCAAAGGGAAGACAGTTAGTTGACCCTGGCTGCTGCAGTTCACATTCTGCTAGAGCCTGGGGGAAAGCTGTTGTCATTTGTCTTTAGGTTTATTCATAATGTTGGGTTTACACATACGTTTTACATTTTTATGTAGTTAAATGTCTTGTCCTTTATGGGTTCTGGCTTGATTGTGCTTAGAAAGGTCTTTCCTCCTCCAAGATTGTGAAAATAATGTCATGTGTTCTTTGCTGGCACTTGTACGATTTCATTTTTGCATTTAAATCAGAACTTGTAAGCTGGTGGACTGTGGGACAGATCTGGTCAACATATGGGTTTTGGTTAGCCTGTCACGGAATTCTGAAAGAAATTATCTGCCAGTGTTTTTTACATAACAATCTTCTATCTTCTCATGAAAAATGTAAGATTTAGCAACCCTGGGCTTGCATTGTCATATAGCAATGCTCAGAAAGAATTGAATAGCTTCGGCTCTTTTAAGCGGAACACAGGCTTTCTAATTCAGAACTTCCCAATTGGTGTGCCATCAAATGCTTTTCAGGTGTGCCACGATGTTGATTCCCCGCCCCCCAGCCTAAAGGTCAGCCAGAGCTCCTATCTAATTTCCTCCTGCAGACATCATCTGCTTTGTCCGTTTGCCCCAGAGACTTGATGTCACAAAAAAAAAAAATTGAGAAAGCACTGACGCTTTTCAATTCGTTACAGTTCTCTGCACAGCCAGATTCACACATTTAGTTAGCTGCTTGACCCTCTTAACTTGCAACCCATTTTACATCTTTGACTTTTTAGTATTTTGATCCACATGTAGTTAACTTGAATATATATTGTACATTTCATATTAATAGGAAAAGGTAAAGATGGGGGATGTTAGGGAACTTTTTTTTCTTTTTCTTTTTTCTTTTTTTCTTTTTTTTTTTTTTTTTTGAGACGGAGTCTCCCTCTGTCACCAGGCTGAAGTGCAGTGGCA